>NC_000006.12:23090303-23393333 GCF_000001405.40 Homo sapiens | reverse complement strand
TGAGAACTGCCTGTACCTAAAAGTTTAAAATGTAGGAACGTGTGTAGTTCTGTCAATATGGTCTCTTGGATTAAGACTTTAATTATTATTTAAAATATTTACCATATTTTAACAACTCACTGTATACTTCATGATACACTGACTACTACAAATCAGAGGTACACCTTGTTTTAAGGCCATTCTCTAAGTGTGTATGTTCCAGAGAATTCATGTCAAAAAAGCTACCGTTCAGGTATCAAAATCATGATCCTAAAGGACAGTAGGATGCTATCATTATTTTTATTGTAAGAGATGAATGTCATTTTAATATCTAAGGATTTTTTTTAGCTGGGGCTATGTTAACTGTTTGTTTGTTCCTTAAAGTTCTCCAGGTTTCATCTATGAACCCCATCCCTCTGACTTCCTACTGTGGGTCATTTTTCACTTTAAAATTATTACTAAAAATAAGATAATAAGATAGAATCTTAAACGTAATAAAATTAATGAATAAAAATAAACAGGACAGCCATATGAAGAATGCCTCTGCAATTTTCTTTGGCTTTTTATTTTGTCTTGTTTTGTTTTGAAAAATTGCAATTGGGATCATGGTTCATTAGCTTGCTTAATTAACCTTTTATAAAGCTTCTAGGAGTAAAGTTATCTTTCTAAGCTCAGGAGCAAGGACACTTTTTTTTCCTTTCCATAAACAGTCTTGCGTCTTCAGATCTGTGTTAGTTTTCTATTGCTGCTGCAATTAATTACTGCCAATTTAGCGGCTGAAAACAAGAAAAATTTGTTATCTGACAGTCTGGAAATCAGAAGTCCTAAAAGCAAGGTGTCAGCAAGGTTGTGTTATTTCTGGAGATGCTAGGGGAGAATCCATTTCCATTCCTTTTCCGATTTCTTGGCCTTCGTTCTTGTCCTTGCATGTAGCTCCCTACGTTGTAGAACCAGCAACAACGTGTGGAATCCTGAGGCTGCCATCACTCAGGCTCTCTGCAGTTGAGGAATGTTCCCCACAATTTCAAAGACTCACATGATTAGATCAGGTTCCCCCGGACAATCCCCATCCCAAGATCCTTAACTTGAATCATTACTGCAAAGTCCCTTTTGCCATGCAAGCTAACATGTTCACAGGTAACCAGAGTTAAGGGATGGGCATCTTTGGAGGCTTTTATTCAGCAGCCACCATATGTGAAAATGAGAATGAGAAAAGGGTTGAATTTCTCCTGACTAGGCATTTACGAAACTCAGAGCCATGAAATATATCTAGTTGTCTTAACTTCAAGTTTTGCTTTGCCTTCTTGACCTCTTCTCTGCTATTGCCTCTTTCCTATCTATTTGCTGTTTTTAATGTGTTAAGTTTCTTATTATACCTGTGCTTTTACTACAAATGAATAGTGGTTTTATTTTTTCCTTCACTAACAAGTAAACAAAAATAATATTTGCAGTGCATATTTAATACTTCAGCCTTTTAACTTGCCAAACAGTAATGTTAAAAAGAAAAAAACTGATGCCATATCCGTTTTATTAATAATGCAAAAATGTAAAATGGATATGATTATAGAATAAAGGCATTTCTTTCAAAGAAAATAGAATGGCAAATTAGTATTTATAACCCCATCTCTCTAGTTTCATTTAAAATGCAGATAAATGAGATTGTGTTTTGATTTTGTGTACTTTTTTTCTTGTTGTGAATATATTGACTTGAACTGTCTTGAGTAATGACAACGGAAGTAGAGATCAAATGACGAAAGTATTTTGGTGTTTTATAGTTATTCCGTTTCACACGGATAAACTGACCAAAATGGAAGCAACATACTTTTACTTCACTCAATTTGGAATATTTGGTTTTTGAATAAACATTTAGTTGATTTTTCTCTAAATCTTCTGGTAGGTTAGTTTGGATAAAAATTGCACATGAGGATATAACCGTATTTCTTTGCAAAATGGCAGAATCTCAAACAGGTACCGTTTTGCTGAGATGAATACAAATGCATTAAAGATGCCAATCAATCATTTTCTCTGCAATTATAGACTTAGCACCCCACACCTCTCTTTTTGGAGCAGCTGCTTGCTTTCACCTTTCATAGAATGTGTTTCCATGGCCTCTTTTGAGTGGACAGTGAGCCAGGCAGCCCAGAGATAGGTCCCTGACTCAAACTAGACCGATTGAATTCTTGCTTCCAAGAACTTAGAACATGGAGAGACTGAGTCAGTTAGTTGGCGGCGCTATTGCTGTGAGCTCATGTAGGAACTGGGCTGGAGTGACTGTTTTCTGTCATGTGTATGACATAGCAGAAAAATCTAGGTGAGGAAGTAAGGAAAGAATGAAGAGATTCTGAGAGAGAATAAATGTTGAAAGAACGAGTGAGGAGGGGAATCACTGGGGCCACTCGAGTTTGTTACTGGTGCTCTGTTTTATGTTTTTGATCTTGAATCCCATGTATCCTTCTAATAAATTCATAAGTTTATATTTAGATGAGGCAAAGGTGGGATTTTTGGTTTGTCGTTTGTTTTTTGAGACAGGGTCTGACTGTCGCCCAGGCTGGAATGCAGTGGTGCAGTTATGGCTCACTGCAGCCTCAGCCTCCTGGGCTCAGGCAGATCCTCCTACCTCAGCCTCTTGAGTAGCTAGGAGTACTGGCACGCACCACCATGCCCAGCTAATTTTGTACTTTCTGTAGAGATGGGGTTTTGCTATGTTGCCCACGCTGTTCTCGAACTCCTGGACTCAAGATGCCTGCCTTGGCATGCCAAAGTCCTAGGATTACAGGCATATGCCACCGTGCCTGGCCACAAAGGTTTTTTGTTTTTGTTTTTGTTTTGTTTTGTTTTTTGCCATTCGTAACCCAAAGGTTTTGTAACTAAGACCTTAATCTATGTGAACACTCCACTTATCTAAATTGTGCAATAAAATGTTTTGATGAATATCTTGAGGTCAATTAGGCATGTCTGGTGTAACAAATATTTAATGAGTGCTTGTTATGTATCATATGCAGAACTAGGCTCTAGGACTACAAAGACAAGTAAGACATGGATCCTATCCAGTCAAACATTTTTCCTGCAAAAGGAATAAGTGCAAGTCCTGCTCTGGGTCAGACAAAAGAAAGAAGCTCCCTTTACTGTTCATTTTTAATGCAGGGTAAACCTTCAATATTCAATAACAGTGTGTTTCCATGTTAACAATGATTGGATGTACTGCAGCAATTTTTCTGATCATTCAGATCTGTCAAATTTGAATTTGACTCTTTATTGAAATAGAATGAGTATAGTAAAGGAATGATGGAAGTGTGATGAATTTAATCAGAAGAATTTCCTAGATGAGATTTTTCAAGGATTCCATGAAATCCAGTTATACTTAGCCTTAAGAAATTAAAAAAAAATGTATTTTAGGGGAAAGCCCATTTGCAATTGTTATGCTTTTTTTCCTCTGCCTCCAATGCCAAATCCCTTTATTTTGAAGTACAGCTCATTGTTCAGGAGCTCAGGCTCCTGAGACAGACTTACTGGTTTTGAATCTCATCTTGCCATTTTCTCATTAGGTGATTTCAGCTAACTCAAATACTTGCTCTCGTTTCCTCATCGTTAAAAAGGGGATAGAACATACCTACCCAATATAGTCATTTTGCAAACTAAGTGAGATAAAAATGTAAAACTCTTAAAACAGTACCCAGTACATATTAGCTACTGAATATGTAACAGTTGTTGTTATTGCTCTCTTTAAATGTATACGCAGAAACACAGCACAGCTGTGCTCACACAGCAAACACACTCAGCCCAAGTAGAGGGAAGCATGGGGTCTAAACTCATTATATTCTATAGGGCCTAAGGGATGGGAAGTGCTCCAATAAATAAATGTATGTAGAGTGACTACATTATGTTCAGCATCTTAGAGTTAAGTTAGTTAATTATGCAAGCCATCCCTCCAAAAATAAAAACAAATGATTTCTTCTTCCTTTATCCAGCTTTGCTATTCAGTACAAATCAGTTTTATTGTTATTTATTTGAACATTGATTTTTCTCTGGTGCAATAATTAATGGAAAACGAATGTTTATGGTTACCTTTTTTTCATCAGAGAATAAAGATGACTGGGATACAGAGAGCAAATACAGATTTATTTCTGACAATAGTAGTTTAAATAGAAAAGTTATATGCTAAGTTATTCTTTCCCTGTGAAACTTATACAAATATAACTGAATTTATTTGATGGACTGAGGTTAAGTGAATGTGGTATAAATATTTATAAAACACAATTGTATTATATACATAATTTATATATACAGGTATATGTGTGCAGATATATGTATGTGTGTGTGTATATATATATTTTATATATATATGTAATGGAGTATGTACTGCGGAATAAACTCGACACACAAAAATAGTGCTATGAGATTTGAGATTTAAGTACCCCTGTCACAAAATGAGAAAATGAGAAGATAAGGAAATATATCTCAATCATCAAAAACAAACCTACAACGTGCCTCTATGGGACATTACGGTTACTAATTATATATAAGAATGTTCATTCTTGTAATGATCAATAAATGCTTAACCCAGATAAAATATTATACTGTTGCCACATTATCCTGTTCAAGGAAATACATCCCTCATGTTATCTTAACCGTCCCTCCCTGTATTAATCAAGTGTTGATGACCATGACTTAAGGCCTGAAAATATTATGGCAGAAAACCCTGGCAGAGGGAAAGCCAAATTGTAGTGCCTGGGGTTATTTATCAAGCTGTCACTGAACACCTAGGGAAGTGCAGTTCCAGCTAATTTATTACAATGTTGTTTTCATTTTTACTGGGCGCAGAAGGACTCACATTGAGGCCATCGAGCTGTGATCTGCACTGGAACAGACGCAGTGACAATGCTACTTCACTTGCACATTTTTTATGGCATGTATTTTTCCCTGACTCTGCTATTTTCTCATAACATTTAAGAATGTTCGTTAAGCTCAAAAGAAGCTAAGCGCTATTTATATAGGTGGAATGAAGATGGAGAGGGGAAGGTGAGAAGGTTGAAACAAATGAATGCTGCCCCAAGAACTACGCGCATGTTACTTGCAAATGTGACTTGTTTAAACCCCGAATGTCTTACATGGGGTGACTCTATCAACGAGACCTTTAAGCTGCAATCCAAATGTGGTGGTGCTCCACACTGAAAGGGTTGAGAGTGGTATCGAGCTGCTGGAATTGCTGACTCTTTCTTTTTCCAGTATAAATGCACATACAAAATGAAATTGGGGATAGTGGAGACTGATGAGTGGTAAGTCACAACACCTAAAGAAGTGAAGAATTTGTCTTAATCTTGTGCAAACATCACATAATAGATTCTCATATTTTCCTCCCATACACTTAGAAAGTAGCTGATTTTAAATACTCATTTAAGATTTGCCTCCTCAAACATATTATGAACTAGGAATCAGTCATTGTAAGTTGTGGATATTTCCTGATGACATGCAATAAATCTAAATAAATACATGTATATGTAAGTATATATACACATGTGTATACACATATATAGGCATACACAAATATAATTAATATAAATAAAAGCAACATCTAATAGAAATGCCTACTAAATATTTAGTTCAGTTTTAGAGTGGAAGCAAAACACAAAAAAGTCCTTTATCCTCAAAGTTTAGGTATACATCTTATGTTAGCCCATTCTCACTCTGTTACCCACATGCCATTACAGACTTTATCCATATGAACGAGCATTTGCATTGGAGAGTGACGTCTTTGTGCATCAATCATCTAAGAACGTGCAATGATATTAACAACACATGTTGTGTGAATATATGATACACCTATAAATGTAGAAATTGCTTTCACATCTGTTATTTCATTTTAAACGTCCAGCAATCCTTAGGAACATAATAAAGTGGCTTATCTTTTAGCAGCTAAAGTAACTGAGGAACAAAGATGTCAAAGGTCTACTTTATGTTACTACTTCATTAGTGACAGTCACAACTAGAACTAAGGACTATGGGTTACTAAATTGTGTCTTATATGGATATTTTAATAGAAAATTTGGATGTTATTACTGATGCTTTATACATCTATGCAGATGTTAGATTTTTTTGATGCAATTACACTTGACCCTTGAACAAAATGGGGGAAGGGACACTGTCACCACCACAGCTGAAAATCTATGTGTAACTTTTGACAACTCCAAAATTTAACTACTAATAACCTACTATTCACTGGAAGCCTCACCAATAACATAAACAAACAGTTGATTAACACTTATTTTATATGCTGTATGTATTACATACTGTATTCTTAAGTTATAAAAAGGAAAATGTTACTAGGAGAGTCACAATAAAAGAGGCCAGCCCCAGTGGCTTATGCCTATAATCCTAGCATTTTGGGAAGCCTAGGCAGGAGGATCACTTGGTGCCAGGAGTTCGATACCAGCCTGGGCAACTTAGTGAGACCGCCATCTCCACAAAAAAGAAAAAAATCAGCCGAGTGTGGCGGTGTGTGCCTGTAGTCTAGGTACACCAGAGGCTGAGGCAGGAAGATCACTTGAGCCCAGAGGAGGTTGAGGCTACAGTGAGCTGTGATTGCTCCAGTGCTGGATGACAGAGCAAGAAAGACCCTGTCTCAAAAAAAAAAAAAAAGAAAAGAAAAGAAAATATATTTACTATTCATTAAGTGGACCTGGATCATCAACATAAAGGTCTTCCTCCTTGTTGTCTTCACTTTGAGTAGGTGGAGGAGAAAGAGGAAGAGGAATGGTTGGTTTTGCTTTCTCAAGGGTGGTAGAGGCAGAAGAAAATCCACATGTGAGTGAATCCATGAAGTTCAAACCCATGTTGTTCAAGGGTCAACTATGTTTAACTGGTTTGAGGGCACATACTAACATGGTTACAGATTCGGCATACTTAGGGGCCGGGTGATTACATTATTACGGACCATAATCGAACTCCAGCTATGCTTCTTCTCTTTTGGGATGTATCAGTCAAGTCAATAAACATTTATGGAGCCCCTACTTAGGAAGGGCTTGGTTCTAGGATTGGGAAAGTTAGTTTACAGTATAAATTAAAAAGCAAATACTACAACTAGAAAAAATCCTCATATCTCCCATTCTACTGACAGTCAATCAGTAACATTAGCTTAGTAAATTGAGAGATGTCATTTATCATTAGAAAAAGTTAACATTCCCCTGAAATTATTATGGTCTAATCTCTCTGATAGCAATATTAAACACTAGCTGTAACTTTTTCATTTTACAGACTGAAATTAAACTTACTGTTCTAGTTTTGGAAAGCTATAAAATAAAGGTCTTGGGAAATTATTTTGGCAGTTTCTGCAATTATAAACATAGACTTTCTCCAACATAATCATTGATTAGAGACATACAAGAAAAAGAATGGGTGAATAGATGTAAACATATCTTACCTAGCGTTACTATCCTATTTAACACTGAAATAAAAGAAAAATAATTAATTATGGATAAATTATCAAAAGTTTTACACATGCTAACAGAAAAATCATTTTCAAAGGTTGTTAGTAATCTAGTTTACAGAATGTTGAAGTTTACATTTTTTTACCTACTTTAATCAAATTTATCTTTTTCTATACCAAGGCAGTAAAAAGTTAAAAAAAAATTGAAATTCTGGATCAACTTAAAAATAATTTTCGCCTGTAGTCCCAGCTACTCGGGAGGCTGAGGCACGAGAATGGCGTGAACCCGGGAGGCGGAGCTTGCAGTGAGCCAAGATAGCGCCACCGCACTCCGGCCGGGGCAAAACAGCAAGACTCCGTCTCAAAAAAAAAAAAAAAAAAAAAAAAATTTGTGTGTTTTTCCTTTTCTGTCTGCCTTTTAAAAATACTCCAAACTAAGTATGTTCAATGTCCTCAATGTGCGATTTGTGTTCTCAATGTGTCTTTTGTTTGTGACAAATATCTCTTCAATAAAAACTTCAATAGACAATGTTGTAAAAGTATCCAGAATACTTTTATAAAACCAAATGCAGGCCTAACAAAATAGAGAGGATCCTGTTTGCACAAATGCCATTGTTCTGGACTCTTTTCTCTTCCAAAATCCTCTCTACTTCACTTCTTAACTCCAGCCTTTGTTGTCACAAATACGGTAGCCAGTATACACATATGGCTGAGAACTTGAAATGTAGTTAAACCAAAATGAGATGTGTTGTAAGGATAAAAATACATATAAAATTGTAAAGACTTTTATATATTTTAAAAGAAAATATTAATAATGATTATATATTTAAATTATGTTGGATGTTGGGTTAAATTATTAAATGTTATATATAAAACATACATATGTACAAAATATATTAGTAAAATTATTTCAATCTATAGCATTTGAATCTTTCATATGAAAATTTAAACATGTCTGTGGCTAACAATATATTAATCTACTTTATTTGGAAAACAAGTGAAATTACTTACTTATAAATAATTTATGGTGAAAGGAGAAATCACAAGGGATATTCAAAACTTTCCAACGGAACAAATATGAGAATGTAACATTAAAAATTGTAGAATGATGATGAAACAATGCTTCGAAGAAAATTTATACTTATTGGTTTATTGATTGTAAAAGAATGATGTACAGTCATCTTAGTTTCTAGCTTAAGAACTGAAACATTATACCAATTTTAGGGGCAGTCAGAAAAACCTCCCAACCCATTTTATGAGGTTTCTGTACTGTTGAAACAAGTCTGACAATGACAACTCAGCCAAACAAAAAGTTTAGATCAGAAACTCTCAGGCTACACATGCAAAATTCTATAATAATCATTAGCAAATCAAGCCCTCTAATACATCATGACATCATGAAAGAAATACACCGTGACCAGTGGGTTTACCCCAGAAATGTAAGCTTGGTTTAACATTAGGAAAAATCAATTGATTGATATAATTCACCATATGAACAGAATGAAGAGAAAACCCCTATGATTATCTCAACTGATGCTGGAAAGAGGTCTTGACAAAATTCAACACCTATTTATAATAAAACCTCTCAGCAACTAGAAAATGAGAGAAACTTCCTTAAATAATGAAACACATCTATGGAAAATCTACATCTGACATTATAATTATTAGTTAAATATTAGAAGAGTTTCACCAAACTTGACAATAAGAAAAACCTAAATACTGAAACGAAATACAACATTCATCCATCTGGAGAGTCAATATTTTCAATATAGTCTTTCACTCCAAATTTTCAAAATTTCATCAGGGTTTTGGTAAAATTGACAAGCTAATCAAAAAATTTCCATCTATTGTAAACCACCTAGAATAGGTAAAGGAATTTTTAAAAGAAGAACAAAATTGAAAGATCTTTTTATTATCTGATTCCAAAATTTGCTACAGTGCTGTGGTAATCGTGAGAGTGTAGTAATGTACTAAGCACACAAAAATGGATAAATGTAACCCACCACAAATAGACCCTGTAGAACTAATTTATGGCCACAGTACCAATTCAACTTAATGGGGATATCTTTCAACATACAGTGTTGGAACAAATAAATAAATATTTTTACTAAAGACAAGAACCGTGACCTAGATGTTACTTAATGCACAACTTTAATCCAGGAAGAATTATAAACCTAAACATAAAAGCTAGAACAATAAAGCTTCTAGAAAAAAAAAAAGGATCATATGTTCATCGCATTGGAATAGGACAATTTTTTACAGGATATAAGAAGCACCAAAATGAAAAGGACAAAAAAGAAAAAAATGACAAATTGGAATTCATAAAAATGAAAATTTAAAGATGTAAAAATCAACCACAAAAAAAAACAAGTGACTGTGGTAGGCAGAATAATGTCCTCCACTTCAAAGATGCTTATATTATAACCTCCAGCACCTGTGACTATGTTACCTTGCTTGGCAAACGGCACTTGTAGATGTGATGTGATTGAATTAAGGATCTGGAGATGGAAAGATCGTCTTGGAGGACCTGGGTGCTCTCAATCTCATGACAAGCCTTCTTACAATTGGAGAACCCTTCCTTGCTGAGTTCAGAGCAAATTACTTTGAGTGACTACTCTGTACTTTAGTTAGTCAGGGATTTGTGACTACAGAAGAATGGTTAGAGAAATGCAACAGGCTTGGCTTGAAGACAGAGGAAGGGTCCACAGGCAAAGGAATATGTGCAGCCTCTAGAAATTGCAAACAGCAAAGAAAGGGACTCTGCTCTAGAGCCTGCAGAGAGGAGTGCAGCTCTGCCAACACCTCGATTTCAGCCCACTGAGACCTGCATCAGACTTCTCACCTACAGAACTGTAATACAAAATAAATTTGTGCTGTTTTAGGCTACTACGTTTGTGGGAATTTATTACACAGCAACAGAAATGAAAAATGGGCAAAGACTTGAACAGATACTTCACCAAAGATAAAAAATGGCCAGTAAGCAAACAAGGTGCTCCACTTCATTAGTCTTTAGGGAAACGCAAACTAAAACTAGAATGAGATACCATTCTGCACCCACTAGAATGATTATTGTTTGAAAAAACAACAACAACAACAACAGGAAACATACTCCATTGGCAAGGGTTTGAAACAACTCATGGGACTGTAAAATGGCCCCATCATACGTAAACTGCTCAGCACCATTGTGCTAGAGCTAAATATATACTCTATGACCCAGGAATTCCATTCCTAAGTGTTTACCCCGCCAAAGAAATATAAACATATTTCCACAAAAGAACTGGTACAAGATTTTTCAGAGCAAACTTATTCATAAGGCCGCAAAACGGGAAACAACAATGCCATCAATAAGGAACTGGATAAGCAAATAGTGATCTATTCCACCAGAAAAATACTAGCCAACAACTTTCTTTAAAAGTGTACTACAGCTACCCATCATCACGTGGATGAACTTCCAAAACATTATGTTGAGTGACAGAAGCCATGGACAGAGGAACATATACTTTTTATTACATTGTTATAAAACAGATAAATTAAAATTAAATCCCCACTTTACAGTGATAGAAGTCAGAAAATAGTTGGGAAGCATTGAAGAGAAAGAGAATTTAGAGCCCTTCTAGGGTGATGGTAACAGTCATATGAGGTGATGGTTTCGCCTATAATAGAAGACGCTCAACACCCTTTTAAATAAACCCTTACGATCTGTGCATTTTACGTAAATTTAAAGGAGAAATTTACTCTAGTCTTGCACAGGTATATGTGGGTGACACATTGCCTCACTCCTGTACTGCATACCTCCATTCTCTGCTGTAGCTCTTCTGAATGCCTGAAATGGGGGAACGGGGAGAATTTGCTCTGCTCTCAGGCATACACAACCCAGGAGTGGAGGAGTGTGAATGCCCATTTGACCATCATCGTCCAGCAAATGATGGGAGACAGCAGATAAAAGCTTCTCTTCTTTCATTCCCTAGGGAAGGAGATCTAAGGTCTATTTCATTAGTGTCCTCCGAGGCTTCTTTTGGGATAGAGTGGCTAACACAAAGCCTCACCCACATGTTGCTTTTCTCTGCTAGATCTTTTATACCACTCTCTGAATCGCCAACTCCCAAGACACATTACCACATACACTAACTGAATACAAGAATTTGTCTCAATCTCTTGTTGGGGAGCGGGGAACAGGCTAAAGTGTCCCATTAAATGTAACTCCTTCTCCCCAGTAGTACGGATATATATTTTTCCTATCACTGACCCTTTTGCAGCTATGGTATTTTTAATAAAGAGGTTGCCCTCCTAATATAATACTTACATATAATAATTGTATTGAAATTTATGTATCTTTTTTAGATTTATATAATATAAACAATCGTAATCAGAAATTACTACACAGGTTTTTAAAGGCCAACTTTATTACAGCATGTTTTATATGTTAACTAGTTAGAATACTTGCAGAAATGTTTTGTCTACTACTCGCAATCCTTTGATATTGGCATATATCTCACTGCGTAGGTCCTGATTTGTGATTATACATATGCTGAGTATTCCTTTCGCATCATTTACATATTAAAATCAATACTACAGTTTACATCTGCAAAAACCTTAGCCATAATTGTGATCAAACTTAACTTAAAATTTATAGAGTTTTAAAGTTGGAAGCTTCTTTATGGCTACTTGACCAAAAGTCATTCAAATAATATTTAATTCCCATGAACCAGCCTGGTGTGATGCCAGTTTTGTGAAGTACCCCAGTTTGCTTTCATTTTGTCTTTTTATGAAATTTTATTTCCCTGAAGATGTCACCTCTCCATCAGGATCTATTAGTCAGGGTTTTCTAGAGGGACAGAACTAATAGGATATCTATGTATACAGAAAGGGGAATTTATTAAGTAGTATTAACTCACACAATCACAAGGTCCCACAATAGGCTGTCTGCAAGCTGAGAAGCAAGGAAGCCAGTTCGAGTCCCAAAGCTGAAGAACTTGGAGTTTGATGTTCGAGGGCAGGAAGCATCCAGCATAGGAGGAAGATGTAGGCTGGGAGGCTAAGCCAGTCTAGCCTTTTCATGTTTTTCTGCCTGCTTTATATTCGCTGGCAACTGATTAGATGGTGCCCACCCAGATTAAGGGTGGGTCTTCATTCCCCCAATGCACTGACTCAAATATGAATCTCCTTTGTCAACACCCTCACAGACACACCCAGGATTATACTTTGCATCCTTCAATCCAGTCAAGTTGACACTTGGTATTAACCATCACCAAGGGCAACTCCCATTCAGCTGGGGTTAGTACGTCCTTACTGTTGCATAATTGAAAGAAGGATTTGTTCTCTGCCCCAGACCTTACCAGCTGTGGATCTGCTGACTAAATCTCTTAACTACTCTATGCTATAGTTTCCTCATTGGAGCATATTATATTTTCAAAAAAACATCATGGCAATATTTCTGATCCCTCATGCTCTTCCAGAACCTCGCCAACTTCCTATCAAGAGGGGAAGCCTCCTCTCATCCTCCCTTTCTGCTTGGACCTGGGCAGGTTTTTCACTTTTATTTCTGGGCAGAAATAATACTACATGACTTCCACAGCTAGATTAGGAAAGACCACATAGCTTCCTCTTGGCTGTCTTTCTCTTGGGATATTTGCCCTTGGAATACAGCAACCATGCTGAAGGGAAGCCCAAACAAGTTCACTTAGAGAGGTCAAATGAAGAGGCCCACAGGGAGAGAAACCAAGGCTCCCAGACCAGTCAGCATCAACAACCACACATTAAGTGACTACAGTACCTTCAGATGATCCTAGTTCCAAACTTCCAGTCTTCCACTGAGACCTCAGAACACATCAGGGAGCAGAGGAAGCTATCTCCGCTGCATTTTGTCCAAACACCTGAACAACTCAATCCATGAACATAGAAATGGTTGCTTTATGCCACTAAGTTTTGGGATGCTTTGTTATGCAGCCATAGTAACTGGAAGAGATTTGGGTACTTGGGACTACTGGGGGTCTACCACTACAAACCCTAAAAATGTAGCAGTACCTTGAGGACTAAGTGGCTGCCCAGTCTGAAGGACCTTGGAGAGTGTTCCCCGGGTGTGGCCCACTCACAGCCCAGAGTAACAACAGGAACTGACAACTGTCTATGGTTTCGATGATGACTTGAAGTGCTTCCAGATCTGAGGGAAAATAGAAAGATGGGAGTTTGGGCAGGGTTACTGGGAAATAACTTTCTTATTGACAGCATTAGGACTGATTTCCTGTTTACTATATTTTCGATCCTTCTGAGGCTTGATTTGTCTACTTTTGGTTCAGAGATATAGTATTTGATAAAGAAAGAATACGATATTTTGAATTTCATTGTTTTCTCAAGTGATAAGAGATCACTCCCTATATGTGATTCTATCACTTTCTCAATAAACATTTTCCTCTCCTTCAAGTCCCTTTTATTTTCTTATCCTTTAAATCAATCTACTCCTATCCCAGAGTTTACGGTAAGAAAACAGCTGACAGGGATACAATATAATTTATCAGCTTTACCATTTTCTGCAGTTTTAATAGTTCATTTTTCTTCCTATCTAGACAGTAACTCAGCTTGACTGTTCCATCTTCAAATGCTGAGGAAGCTATGGATACAAAATTCCCGCAAGATTCCTCATTCCTGGATCCTATGCTGGTGAAAGAGTGAACTGAAAGGGATATTATTAGGACGTTAGCAATAACTCAAGTTTGTGAGCTCTGTCTATTCTTTTATTGTCCTTTTTTTGTTTCAATTTTTCTTTTCTGTCCTTTACTCTTTCCCTGAAGTAAAAAAGCGATTGTCAAACTGTGCACAGGTAAAGATAAAATGGTTTAAGGAGCACCCAAAAGGTGCTTCGTGTCTTTCAAATAAACGCAACAACTAGAGCCCAGAGAGATTTATCATTGCACTTTGTAAAATCCTTTTGGTTCACTTATTTATTTATTTTTATTACACCTGCCTCTCCCCCTCACCTTCCTCCTTATACTCTATGGCTGCTGGTTCCTGTTTATCATTTATTTAAGGGGCATGTTTTCATTTATTCACAAAAAGGTGACATCACATCTATTTCAAGTGACAGCTACCAAATAGCCTGGTCTAGCCTGATTAAGTGCACAGATAGTTTATTTCCTTTTTCCCTAAAGAAGAATCATCCTCATAGATTGGAGGTAGGTGAGGAAGAAGTAGAAGGGCCGTTGGAACACATTCATCTTTTACTAATAATTGTTAAAATTTAGCTAAGTTTTAAGGCTTCGTAGATTGGGTACATTCTATATTTCTATAAATATTTGTTTAATTGTCTGAAAAGGGAGAGCTGCATTTACCAAGGTAATTATTCAGTAAACATAGGTAACAATGAGCTACTTGGAGGACTATAATTTTATACTTAAATAAAACATAAACAGTTCAGTAGCCAGGCTAAGACCAATTTTCTATGAATCAGTCAAGTAAAGATTCGGAATGAACAGGGTACAAATTTTGGCAAATATATAACCTTGCTAAAGTAGATAGGAAAAGCATAATGACAACCGTTTCTTAGGCCCTTTAAAAGTGGGAGACTGGGCATTCCTCCTCATGTAGAATTAAGGTATTAGTTAAGCATGCTAAGGAAACTAAATTAAGAGACTGTCTAACTTTCTGCACATTTAATGGTTAGAATTCTGTTTTTTAAAAGTCTAGATGAAAACAAAAATCGCTAATGCCAGCTAGAGACTGGGTGCATATTTTTTGATGTCAGATGGTTCTATCTGGTTAGTTTCTTCTGTCCTGAGAGCAATAGAAACTTGGATAAAAGCAACCATTTAGGTCTGTTAGCCTCTCTGGCTCTCCCTCATGCCTGGAGAGAATTGTGTAAACTGTATATCACTGTACATATCTCCTTGAAATTCAAATATATTGTTTATTTGTTCATGTTGTTTGCTTTCCCACATTTTACAATTGAGCCTCATAAATAGGCAGTCCAGGATTTTCCTCTCAAACTGCTCATCTGAAAATTCTAAAGACACATGGAGTCATACTCAGTTTAAAGGCATTAGGGCTATTTCCAAGTGCCAGAGGGAATCAGAAAATGAGTGTCAAATCAATGAAAGTGATATTCTTGCCTGGCTCTTTTCATGGTGCTGTGTGTGGGACTGTGTCTACTACAATGTCCTTATTAGTTCAGTTCTCTGCACAGGACCTGGTGATAGCCCAGAATTGGATGTAAAAAAAAAAAAAAAAATAGGTTTTTTAGTTTAGACTCACAGACTTGGCTTTTCTCTCCCAGTCATGGCATTATGGCAGGGTAACTGAGCCCTGAGTGTGTACAGCTTCAGCCATGGACTCTGCTGCCATCCAGCCTTCTCCACAAAATGCCAGAGCTTGCTGAAAAACTCAGATGGCCAGTCCAAGCTCTGCTCTCCCTACAAGGCGTTCTCCTCTGGGGCCTGTATTGTCCTTTTCTGCCCCCATATCACAGTCACAGCCACTCCCATCCATCCACTGAATCTCAAAATGGAGTCAGGTTTGAAACTTTCACCCAGAAGGTCTCCTGAATCCAGGGAATATTTACCCTGTGACTTCCAGGAATGTGCCAAACAAGAATGGTAAAAATAGTAACACTGGTTCAGCTAGAGAAACGTTTCAGAAGGGAAAATGACACCTCCTAGATTTGCATTTTTATAACTAAAAATGATCATTTAAGAGCTTTAGAAGGAGGCAAAAAAGTTTTCTACCCAGATGACCTTCTATCTAAGTTGCTAAACAGAGAAACCTGGCAGGATGTTTAAAGCTTATCTTACCAGGAGACCTATTTTATATGCTTAGTTGAGTTTTTGTTTCATTATGTTATTATTTGTGAAGATCCCCAGTATATGACACTCATAAGTAACCTCAGTAAAGTTTCAGTTTACAAAATCAATACAGAAAAATTGGTTCCATTTCTATACACCCATAATGTTCAACATGAGAACCAAATCAAGAATGCAATCCCATTTACAATAGCAACGCAAAAAATACCTAGGAATACACCTAACCAAGGAGGTGAAGGATCTCTACAAGTGGAACTACAAAACACTGCTGATAGAAATCATAGATGGCACAAACAAATGGAAAAACTTTCCATGCTCATGGACTGGAAGAATAAATACCATTAAAGTGGTCATACTGGCCAAAGAATCTACATATTCAACAATACTCCTACTAAGCTATCAACATAATTTTTCAGAGAACTAGGAAAAAAACTATTTTAAAATTAATATGAAACCAAAAAAGAGCCCAAATACCAAAGCAATTCTAAGCAAAAAAGAACAAAGCTGGAGACCTCACATTACCTGACTTCAAACTATAAGTTTACAATAATCAAAACATCACAGTACTAGTACAAAAAGAGAAACAGAGACCAATGAAACAAAGTAGAGAACCAAGAAATAACACCACACACCTACAGCCATCTGATCTTCAATTATATTGACAAAAAAAAGCAATGGAGAAAGGACTCCCTATTCAATAAATGGTGCTGGGATAGACAGCTAACCACATGGAGAACGATGAAATTGGACACCTGCTTTCACCATATACAAAAATTAACTTAAAGTGGATTAAGTATTTAAATATAAGACCGCAAACTCTAAGAATTCTAGAAGAAAACTTAAGAAATACCATTCTGGACATTAACCTTGGGAAATAATTTATGATTAAGTCCTCAAAAGCAATTGCAACAAAAACAAAAATTGACAAGTGGGATCTAATTAAACTAAAGAGCTGCACAACAAAAGAAACTATCAACAGAGTAAACTGACAAGCTACAGAATAGCAGATTTTTCCAAACTATGAATCTGACAAATGCCTAATATCCGGGATCTATAAGGATCTGAAACAATTGAACAAGCAAAAACCAAACAATCCCATTTTATAAAGGGGCAAAAGACATGAACAGACACTTCTCAAAGGAAGACATACAAGTGGCCAGCAAACACATGAAAAAATGCTCCACAACACTAATTATCAGAGAAATGCAAATCAAACCCACAATGAGATACCATCTTACACCAGTTAGAATGGCTATTAATAAAGGGTGAAAACCCAACACATGAGGGCAAAGTTGCAGAGAAAAAGAAATGCTTAAACACTGTTGGTGGGAATGTAAATTAGTTCAGCCACTGCGGAAAGCAGTTTGAAGATTGCTCAAAGAACTTAAAACGGAACTACCATTTGATCGAGCAATCCCTTCACTGGGTATGTATCCCAAAGAAAATAAATGTTTCTACCAAAAAGACTTATGCACTTGTATGTTCAACACAGCACTATTTACAATAGCAAAGACATGTAATCAACCTAGGTGCCCATCAGTGGTGGATTAAATAAAATGTAGTACATATACAACATGGAATATAACACAACCATAAAAAAGAATGAAAGTATATTCTTTGCAGCAACGTGGATGCAGCTGGAGGCCATTATCCTAAGCAAATTAATGCAGGGACAGAAATCCAAATGCCACATGTTCTCATTTATAAGTGGGAGCTAAACTCTGGATACTCGTAGACATAGAGATGGCAACAGTAGACACTGTGGACTAATAGAGGAGGGAGGGAGGGAGCAGGGCAAGGTTTGAAAAACAAACTAATGGAAACTACGCTCACTATCTAAGTAGCAGGATCACTCATATCTCAAACCTCAGCATCATGCAGTATGCCCATGTAACAAACCTGCACTTGTACCCCTGAATATAAAATAAAAGTTGAAATTACTTAAAAAATAAGCTCTTCTTTTTTTTCCTTTGAGACAGGATTTTGCTCTGTCACCCTGGCAGGAGTACAGTGCCATGATCTCTGCTCACTGCAACCTCTGTCTCCTGGGTTCAAGTGATCCTCATGCCTCAGCCTCCCGAATAGCTGAGATTACAGGCACCCACTATCATGCCTGGCTATTTTTGTACTTTTAGTAGAGATGGGGTTTTGCCATATTGGCCAGGCTGGTCTTGAACTCCTGGCCTCAGGTTATCCGCCCGCCTTGGCCTCCCAAAGTGCTGAGATTACAGGTGTGAGCCACTGTGCCCAGCTCGAAGCTCTTCTTCTTATAGGTTTCAAACTCATTTATATATTTAAAAAATCAATACATGGGGTAGGGTATACAGCTACATGGCAGTATAATCCAAATATAACTGTTAATAATTTTAAAAAGGAATACATTAAGTGTTCATAGCAGCCACTTTTCAGTTGTTTGATAATGCATTACTCCTCTTAATTACTAGTATCAGAAATAAATGTATATTATTTTATAATGAGAAAAATACTAATTTGAAAATCAACATGTAAGAGTTGATAACTGTGGTTTTTCCTTATTGTTTTTGAAAGTAGAAGTAACATAAATTTCCAAAACATATGTATATAGTCTAAAACATAGAACTATAGGGATTTTTATATTGCTCTATGGTATAACTTTTTAAAGGAGAGTATCTGAAAATAGAAAAAAAAAGGAAAATTGGTAGTTGCTGTTCCCACAATTCTACTAAAATATTATTAGCTTTTATTTACCCTCCTATTTATCACCTGTTAATTTAAGTCAAATTTCTTAAATTTAGCCTAAGAGTCTCTAATAGCAACACATTCCAGGTGTTTACTTGCAACTGTGTAAAACTTTACTGATCTTAAAACTCTTCCCCTTGCAGTGTAGATTTCGTCACCTTTAATACCCTCCATAATGTTGTGTACTGCTATTATGTATTCACTTGCCTTTCACTTTCCCTAATGAAAGATCTTGCTATCGTTTTTCACTGTATTCTGTACCAGGAAATGGCTGAAATCTCTTCATAATTTAATTTGTCTTTCTTAGAACAATTTCAAAGTTTTCTGGAAGGGTGCTGACCTGACCTGTGTAGGAAGTGTTTGTGGATTGTGTTTTCTTGCTTTTTCAAACCTGGCTAATTCATTAGACGTTATTTTGAATGTCTCTTTTAAAAAATGCCTCAATCAAAAAGGGACTCTTTAGGGAGGGCTTTGGCATCACAGCTCTGCTTCCCACATGCCCCCTCTGCTTTTATTTTCTCTTCAAATATATAAACAAATAAATGAACAGTCTGGACAGCACTTAAGTGAGAAACACAGAAAAATAATTCAAGTAATTTTTAGCAAATTCAAAAGTTAACAGTATTTTCCTATGGTTATATCTGGATTTTGCATATGCTTAATCTCTAAGTAGCTCTAGTTCATAAAGAAGGTAGCACTGGTCCTCAAAGCTTTACTATGAACCCACTCCCATCTTTATTTATATGCCAACAAACAGCTAAATTTGTTTGTTGGCCTCAATGTTGAGGTTATGCTGGAGTAAAAAAATTATAAAGGCATTAATTATATTCAAATATTATTAAAACCCTTATAATTATCATTTTCTTTGTCTTGCATTTATATATATATATATTTATTTGTTAAATTGAAGCACATGAACTAATTTTGTAAATGGAACTTTCTTTCTTTCTCTCTCTCTCTCTTTCTTTCTCTCTCTCTTTCTTTCTTGGTGTGGGGGACAGGGTCTCACTCTGTCACCCAGGCTGTGATCACGGCTCACTGCCACCTCAACCTCCTGGGTTCAAGTGATCCTCCTACCTCAGACTCTCAAGTAGCTGGGACCACAGGTACGTGCCACCATGCTTGGCTATTTTTTTTTGTTTTTTGGGGTTTTTTTGTTTTTTAAGAGACACGGTCTCCCTATTTTGCCCAGGCTGGTCACCAAATCCTGGGCTCAAGCAATCCTTCCACCTTGGCCTCCCAAAATGCTAGGATTACAGGGATAAGTCACCATACCCAGCATGAATGTTCTTTTGGTAAAAACAACTACAAGCTATCAATTGATGCTAGAACTACTGAGTGCAAGATGTTGGGATACTGCATATTTACTGGGTTTAAAAATATCATTCACTCATTAATGGAACAGGTGCCTTTATAACACGCAGATTGCACAGTGCCACCTTAACCAAGTGATCAAATTTAGCACCACCAATAGTGAAATAAAATTGAAGTTAAGTGCTACTTGCTATGAAGCAATAAAAAAAAGTACACAAGGTCCTCCATGTGGTATTTTTGAAAACAAAAAGTTAACATAAATGTAATCAGTTATGAGGAAACAATCAAAGAGACCCAGACTGTGAGACAGTCTACACAAACTCCAGCCTGAATGTTTTTTTTAAAAAAAAAAAAAAAACATGTCGGGGCCAAGTGCAGTGGCTCACACTTGTAATCCCAGCACTTTGGGAGGCTGAGGTGGGTGGATTACGAGGTCAGGAGTTTAAGACCAGTCTGACCAAGATGGTGAAACCCCGCCTCTACTAAAAATACAAAAAAAAAAAAAAAAATTATCCAGGCATGGTGGCGGGCACCTGTAATCCCAGCTACTCAGAAGGCTAAAGCAGGAGAATCACTTGAACCTGCGGGGCGGAGGTTGCAGTGAGCCGAGATCGCACCACTGCACTCCAACCTGGGCGACAGAGTGAGATTCCGTCTCAAAAAAAAAAAAAAAAAAAAAAAAAAAAGTCATGATTCAAAATATGGACTAAATATAATTAGATTTACTGCTCACATGTGTTTAATTGTGAGTATTCTGGTTATATGCAAAAATGCCTTTATTCTCAAGAAATGCATGACAAAGTATTTAGAGGTGAAATATCACAATGTCTGCAGTTTACCTTCAAATGGCTGTCCACCACCATTAACAAAGTATTAGCATTTAAGATAGGGAGAAAGAAAACAATAATAGCTAAATATTGAATTAATTTTTAAGTGAAGAATAGATGAATGTTTATTGTGCTATATTTCAATTTTTTGTAGATTTGAGAACTTTCAAAACAAAATATGGGACTGAAGAAAAAAAGAACACTAAATGTAGCAAGAAAATTATCCCTTACGAATAAAGTTGCACAGAGCCCTGAAGTTGCATTTCTGTTTACTGTTTTTGCACTTAGAAACATTGCCCTGATGTCTCAAAAGGAATTGTGTCCTCCTACATAGTTAATGTGACTGCTTGTTATGTTTGCCATTTCCTGAAGGCATGTATTTAGTAGATGCTGAATGATCTCTCCTACTCTTAGCTAAAATATTTGAAAACAAACAAACTGAAGGCAGCTCAAAGCAGCATGTTTCCTTCCAGGGTTTCTTTGCGAGCCATGTGTGCAATTCATTCATAGTCAGGTATCTCTTAATGGCTTGAGATTGTTTAGAGGGTGAGTACAGAATAGATATCACAGAGAGACATCTGGGAGTTAAATTTGTGGCATATGTGACCATAAAAGTATGAATATAAATGTGCGGGTATGGATAAGAGAGGGAATATATATGTATATATCACTATATGATGTTTATAGCTGTAGTAAATTTAGAAAGAGCTATTTATAATTAAGAGCATATTGAATGGCTTCAGATCATCTATAAGAGTGTGCACATTCTCACTCATACATGATTTTTCAAGGTGCATGGGAGAATGACAGGAAGATCAATACCACTCCGGTTGATTATAAGAGGCTGGAAAGATTAGGTTGAACATTTTCACAGACTAAATGACAATATAACAAATCAAAAATGTTGAGGTCAAATAAAAGGCAGCTTAATTCCCACACCTCTGTGGATAGTACTGAGATCATACCTCAGCCTGACACAGAATTAGCAAACACAGATGCTTGCTTATATATTTCACCTCTTTATGTCACTGGAAGCCATTGTTCCTATTATCTCAAACCCTCTCTAAGACCAGCAAAAGGAAAGGCTCGTTTTCCCTTCCAGTTAACTTACTATTTCAATTCATTTTATTCAAAAAACCTTAATAGTACAAAATACCAACACAGAAGTAAAATCAACTTGAAATTTCTTTGGAAAAAGAATCACTCCTTGGCCATATGTTAAATATATTCAAATAGGTCTGGCAGAATGTTGCATCTGTTCTTGTCTTCCCTTATAGTTTTATCAGCTTTAAAGGTCAGTTGTGATGGTGTTTATTAAATAAAAATAACAAGGGAGTTTGCTTCACCTTTAAATCTTCCACCTACTTTGCATTAGGCTCTCCGCTCGAGACAGATAACCCATTAAAGCAATTTCACCGTATTTGTAGATTATATATCCTGCACTGGTTTTTCTTCCTTATGAAAGGTCTTATTTTCTTTTTAATTATTACAGGTTAATTCAGAGTGTGAGTAATAATTGGAAATTGAAAAAAAGTGTTATGTGCATGTATCTTGAATTAAATCATTAATATTGAATAATATTCTTCTTGAATTACCAGTCAACATAAGTACTTGGGAATTTTGCAGATATAATTCAGTAATGGACACAAAGTGAGATCATCAATGTTTTTTGCTTGCATATTATTTTTAATAAAAAAGAATATCATTTTAATAAAAAAGAATATCCATCCAAATTATGTTATTCTTTTAAGGAGAAAAGTGAATATTTTCTATTTATCAACTCCTTTTAAATCAACTCCTGAGTAAACTGACTGGAAGCCTAAAGAAAACTTTAACATTTAGGTAAATATTTTGTGTGGGACAAAGCATTTCTGGAGGTTATGATTGTTTTTGGAATTGAGGTAGATACATTGGCAAAGGAGATGGGGAAGCCATGCCCAGAGACATAGGCAGGCATCCAGGAGAAAGTGACATAGTGGGAATCAAGGACAGAAGGAGCCTTGAAGAAGTCAAGAATGCCAACTGGGTCAAATGCTGCTGAGAAAATATGATAAGCTTGGCAAGGGTCCATTGGATTTATTGTCATAGAAGTCATAGGCGGCCAATTTGGAGGAATGGTGAGCACAAGAACGAGACTGGAGTGGCTACAGAAATTCAAACCAGGAGCCAGCACTGGTTTCAATGTTGAGAACCACTCACATCCTTCAGAACCGTCTGACGGTGAAATGGACTCCTTAAGAGATCATGTGTTTCCTGTACATGGAAATGCTCAAGGCAAGGTTGAATTGCCAGTTTTCAAAGATGTGATGGCATGAATTGAAACATCTGTTGAGAGATGAAGAAAGGTATCTATTTAATACCCCTAAGGATCTTCCAGATACTAAAAACAAGCTTTCTAACTTTTACAGGGTTTGGTCTTATTCAGCCATAAATAATAATATTATCAATAATAGCATGTATTATTATTATTATTTGAGACAGAATTTTGCTCTGTCGCCCAGGCTTCAGTGCAGTGGCATGATCTAAGCTCACCACAACCTCCACCTCCCAGGTTCATGCAATTCTCTCACCTCAGCCTCCTGAGTAGCTGAGATTACAGGCGCCCACCACCACGCCTGGCTAATTTTTGTACTTTTAGTAGAGACTGGGTTTTGCCATTTTGGCCTGGATGAACTCCTGACCTCAGGTGATCTGCCCACCTCGGCCTCCCAAAGTGCTGGGATTACAGGCGTGAGCCACCATGCCCGGCCAACATGTATTATTGATAGTTAGGTGCTTTATAGCTTATACAAAATAAGTCTTGCTTACACAGTTTACCTAATCCTCACAACAATCCTAGAAAGTAGGTAGGCAGTCATTAACAGTAGAGCTGTTAAATGTTAGGGCAAAAGCTTCATCCCAGGTCTTCTAACTTTAAATGCAGTGCTCTTTATACCACATTATAATTCTTCACATTTATTCACATGCTTCTGATTCATTCTCTTTTGATTCAGTGGCAGCCAATGTTGCACTTTGTGAGGTTACAAATGGAAGAAAACCCTCTAACCACATAGTTCAGTATTCTGTGCTACAACCATGTCTGAACCTTGGGTCATCTGAGAAGAGGCCCGGGATAGGTGGCAGGAGTGAGGTAATGTACACTGACGATAACCATTGCATTTTTAATCACAAGGAACTATGACAAGTGGCTACCAAAAATAATGGCTGTTGACCCTGCTAAAATAGCAAAGACAGATCATTTATATATTGAGGGTACAGCCTCTGGGACTCAGTGGATGCCCAATATCTTTTAAACTTAGCTGCTCTCACATTATTGAATACAATATATTTCTTGTGAAAATGAGCTCCATGCCCTTGATTTCATTTCTGGATAAACGTCACTAACCCCACTTTCCTGTCTTGGACAAATTTGTGACATAGGTGAATACCAGGGATGCTCATTTTCTATTAACAGATTCTGAAGGGAAATTGAAAATTCAAATGAAAAATTCAAAAGCACATGCATCAGTACATCATGGTATTGGTATATGCTGAATATGAACAAATATGCCAGATGCCCATTTCTAAGTGTCACCTGCTCAAGCCCTATTCAGAGGTAGGCCATGTCATGGAAAAGGCCTATCTAGATTCTAGAGAGTGGAGAAAACCCTTTGCTACTTGCCCCCTTGAGTCTTTATTGGCAAAGTTGTTGTTGAAATTAACCACAGTTGTAATCTCATAACCACATACATGATGGAAATTCTCAAGATGGTTTTATAAGGGTCAGGCAACAAAAAACAGAGGGAGAATTTTTGATGTTGGTTCACAATACTATTAAAATGAAAAAATAATTTTTGACTTGAATATTACCCTATTATAATTAATATAACTTATAACCTGAAAATGAGAACATGTACATTTTGCTCTATCTGAACTCAATGAGGAAAGAGACAGTTTATGAGCTAAAGAAAATATAGGAATTTTGTTTATATTTCTATATATTTCCATGCAGCCTTCTTATGCTTTTAACTCTAAATTAGCAGTTACAGATCATGATAGAGATGTACAGATTCTGAGAACTTCCTACAAGATTAAGCAAATAGAAGTCTCATGTAGTTGGAAGGCAAAAAGGAATTAGAAATATCTACAAAATCATAACAGAAACATCATTCCCTCAAAACTTACTGGGGAAAGAGAGATTTTGGTTGACAAATATACAATCCCTCTAAATATAATCTAGAATAATAATGCCTTCAATCTAAAGTAAGTAAAAGTAAGAAGGAAAAAACAAACAGAAAGTAGGAAGAACTTTGGCCTTAAGAAATTAAAATATATCAATAAACAAAATTTTGAGTATAAACATAAACATATTTGTACATAAGCAAAAAATGGATTGTTAACAGCTAAAAGGTAGATAGTAAAAGTGTCAAAGTTATTCTGAACAATAGTAGATCTCACAATAGGAGATATTCTATTCTGAAACACAAAAATACGAAATATCCTGTCTGCGGCTCCCCATGTCAAAGAAGGCATGGTATTAATAGGTATATGAATATGGGATTAATGTAACAAATATTTATGAATACCTACTCTGTCCAAGGCATTTTTCTGGGTACTAGGGAAATATCAACAAACAAAACCGAAAAAAATCCCTGACTTAATGGAGTCAGTGTTCTAATACAAGACATCAGCAATTAAAGGATCATTAACTAAAATGCTATGCTAGAAGCAATAAGCATCCAAGGGAAAAAGTAAAATATACAATGAGATATGCAGTGTCAGGGAACAGGAGCCAACATCTTAGATGGGTGCCAAGAGAAGACATCACTAACAAAGTAACTATTTTAGCAAATGACTGAAGAAAAAGAGGGAGGGAACCAGAAGAGTGTCTGAGAGAAGACCATTCCAGGAATAGAAAAACTTCTACCTCAATGCACACTTGAGGTAGAAGTGTGCATGGCTTGTCAAGGAAAAGCCAGAGGCCAGCATGTCCAGGGCAGCAGGAACAAAATGGAGAGTAGTTGGGGATGACCTCAGAAAGATAACGAGAAGTTGAGTAGATCCAGTAGGGCTTTGCAGTCGTTGTATGGATTTTATCCTTTACCCCAAAATGACAATCCACCAGAGGGTTGAAACAGAGGAGTAATGTTACCTGTCTTAGATTGTAAGGTTCTCTCTGACTACAGGGTTGGGATTGCACTGAAGGGTAGCCCTTGAGGAAACAATTAAAGGGTGACTTCAAAACTCCACATCCTCATGATGGTGGTCTGAGCCAGGAGTATGACTGTGAGGATGGAAATAAATGGTTGCATTACAGACACATTTTGAAGACAGAGCTGACAGTATTGGCTGAGAGATTTTCTGTAAGTTGTGAGTGAAAGAAAAAAGTCAAAGATGGCACCATAGCCTATGAATCCTGAACACTGAGAAGAAGAGACACCCCATTTCCTGAGATGGGGGAGGAGTTCGTTTGGGGGTGTGGTTAAGATCAGGTTCTCCTCTTTTAGATATGTCACATTCGCAATCCCAAATTAAACATCCAGCTGCAGTTCTTAAAAAGGCAGTTAGTTAGAAAAGTCTGAAATTCAGAAGAGAGATCTGGGCAAAATATAAATTTTGAGACTCATCAGCATATATATGGTAATTAAAGAGTTAAATCCGTGAGAGATGATGATATCATTGAATGAAACCTTTATAGTAATTTAAAAAAAAAGTATAACTAAAATATCAAATGATTTTGTCATGATTTTATATACAAACAGCCCTTTGTATGTGTGGGCTGGGTTCCCACATCTCTAGATTCAACTAAGCATAGATAGAAAAATATTCAATAAGTAAATAACACAATAAAAATAGTACAAATTTAAAAAATGGTATAACAACTATTTACATAGTATTACATTGTAGTAGGTATTATAAGTAATCTAGAGATGACTTAAAGTATATGGGAGGTTGTGTGTAGCTTAAATGTAAATACTACACCAATTTATATAAGGGACTTGAGCATCCCTGGATTTTGTTATCTCTGGGGGTCCTAGAAACAATCTCCCAAGGATACAATTGAACCACTGTAACTTACTAAATGAGCTGATGTCCAGTCACTGTAGCTATGGATGCGTGGGTATATATGCACAAACTTTTATATATACATATGCATATGTACGTGTATTAATATTGTATAATATTAAAGATATTAATACTGTAAAGAAAAACTAGCCATTGTATGAAAAAGTTGTTCATATGTACATCTAAAGAAGAAAAATATCATAGAAGTGTAGTGTTTCTTTTGTAGTGAAGGCTATCTCTACAGTCAGCTATCTGTCTATCTATCTATCTATCTATCTGTCTGTCATCTATCACAGTCTATTCCCACAAGCACCTCATTATGTGACATCTATTACCTTGTGGAATTTACTATTCATTCAAAGGTTGGCTGTCAGCCTTATGGTCTCAGAAAATGGATTTTATCAGTACAATGAGCCTATATTGTGATAGGCTGTTAGTGGTTGAGCAAGGCTATTTTTTCGTCTTCTTGGGGACATACTAGACTATATTGCTCATCTCCTTTGCAGTTATATGTGGCAAGAAGCAGTGGAAGTGATGTATGCCGATTCCAGTGCTGGCATCTAAAAATATCCCAGGCATACTTCTCTATGTTCTTTTCTCTTTTCCTGAGTTGAATAAAAACTGTTCCAAATGATCTAAGAGCTACCTCTGCATACATTTTTACTGTTTTGTTATTCCTGTACTGTTAAGTGAATAAGAACTAAACGTTTATTCTTTCTAAGTCATCATTGTTAATCTATCAAATAAGTAGATTTGCATTAATCTTTCTGTTCTGAAATATAAAACAGAACACCATTGAGAACACCAGCTTGAGCCTACCAAGGTTTCCATAAATTCTTCCTGCAAACTTCCCCAATTTAAATGCAACCAAATTTTATTTTAAATTTTCACATTATTTGAATGCAGTCTTGAGCCTCCCCTTCAGTTCTATACTTCCAGCTAACATCTCCCCAGATTGAAATTTTAAAGCTTCTAATGTACATATGTATAAGAAGCTAAAACATAATCAAAATGTTGCTTGGTGAACACATATTTGGAGCAAAGAGAACTGAGTGAATTAAGTATGTATCAGGATAAGATGGCCAAATATATTTATTTAATAATAGAATAGGGATACATGTGGGTGGAGCCAAGATGGCTGAATAGGAACAGCTCCAATCTACAGCTCCCAGCGTGAGCGACACAGAAGACAAATGATTTCTGCATTTCCAACTGAGGTACCCGGTTCATCTCACTGGGGATTGGCAGACAGTGGGTGCAAGACAATGGGTGCAGCACACCGAGCATGAGCCGAAGCAGGGCGAGGCATTGCCTCACCCGGGAAGTGCAAGGGGTCAGGGAATTCCCTTTCCTAGCCAAGGAAAGGGGTGACACATGGCACCTGGAAAATCGGGTCACTCCCACCCTAATACTGCGCTTTTCCAACCGTCTTAGCAAACGGCACACCAGGAGATTGTATCCCGCACCTGGCTCGGAGGGTCCTATACCCACGGAGCCTCATTCATTGCTAGCACAGCAGTCTGAGATCAAACTGCGAGGTGGCAGCGAGGCTGGGAAAGGGGTGCCCGCCATTGCCAAGGCTTGAGTAGGTAAACAAAGCGGCCAGGAAGCTCGAACTGGGTGGAGCCCAACGCAGCTCACGGAGGCCTGCCTGCCTCTGTAGACTCCACCTCTGGGGGCAGGGCATAGCCAAACAAAAGGCAGCAGAAACCTCTGCAGACTTAAATGTCCTTGTCTGACAGCTTTGAAGAGAGTAGTGGTTCTCCCAGCACGCAGCTGGAGATCTGAGAATGGACAGACTGCCTCCTCAAGTGGGTCCCTGATCCCCGAGTAGCCTAACTGGGAGGCACCCCCCAGTAGGGGTGGACTGACACATCACATGGCTGGGTACTCCTCTGAGACAAAACTTCCAGAGGAACGATCAGGCAGCAACATTTGCTGTTCACCAATATCTGCTGTTCTACAGCCTCTGCTGCTGATACCCAGGCAAAAAGGGTTTGAAGTGGACCTCCAGCAAACTGCAACAGACCTTCAGCTGAGGGTCCTGACTATTAGAAGGAAAACTAACAAACAGAAAGGACATCCACACCAAAACCCCATCTGTACGTCACCATCATCAAAGACCAAAGGTAGATAAAACCACAAAGATGGGGACAAAACAGCAGAAAAACTGAAAATTCTAAAAATCAGAGTGCCTCTCCTCCTCCAAAGGAATGCAGCTCCTCACCAGCAATGGAACAAAGCTGGACAGAGAATGACTTTGACGAGTTGAGAGAAGAAGGCTTCAGACGATCAAACTACTCCGAGCTAAAGGAGGAAGTTCGAACCCATGGCAAAGAAGTTAAAAACCTTGAAAAAAGATTAGACGACTGGCTAACTAGAATAACCAATGCAGAGAAGTCCTTAAAGGACCTGATGGAGCTGAAAACCACAGCACAAGAACTACGTGACGAATGCACAAGCCTCAGTAACCGATTCGATCAACTGGAAGAACGGGTATCAGTGATGGAAGATCAAATGAATGAAATGAAGCAAGAAGAGAAGTTTAGAGAAAACAGAATAAAAAGAAATGAACAAAGCCTCCAAGAAATATGGGACTATGTGAAAGGACCAAATCTACATCTGATTGGTGTACCTGAAAGTGATGGGGAGAGTGGAATAAAGTTGGAAAACACTCTGCAGGATATTATCCCGGAGAACTTCCCCAATCTAGCAAGGCAGGCCAACGTTCAGATTCAGGAAATACAGAGAACGCCACAAAGATACTCCTCGAGAAGAGCAACTCCAAGACACATAATTGTTAGATTCACCAAAGTTGAAATGAAGGAAAAAATGTTAAGGGCAGCCAGAGAGAAAGGTCAGGTTACCCACAAGGGGAAGCCCATCAGACTAACAGCTGATCTCTCGGCAGAAACTCTACAAGCTAGGAGAGAGTGGGGGCCAATATTCAACATTCTTAAAGGAAAGAATTTTCAACCCAGAATTTCATATCCAGCCAAACTAAGCTTCATAAGTGAAGGAGAAATAAAATCCTTTACAGACAAGCAAATGCTGAGAGATTTTGTCACCACCGGGCCCGCCCTAAAAGAGCTCCTGAAGGAAGCAGTAAACATGGAAAGGAACAACCGGTATCAGCCACTGCAAAAACATACCAAATTGTAAAGACCATCGATGCTAGGAAGAAACTGCATCAACTAATGAGCAAAATAACCAGCTAACATCATAATGACAGGATCAAATTCACACATAACAATATTAACCTTAAATGTAAATGGGCTAAATGCTCCAATTAAAAGACACAGACTGGCAAATTGGATAAAGAGTCAAGAGGCATCAGTGTGCTGTATTCAGGATACCCATCTCACCTGCAGAGACACACATAGGCTCAAAATAAAGGGATGGAGGAAGATCTACCAAGCAAATGGAAAACAAAAAAAGGCAGGGGTTGCAATCCTAGTCTCTGATAAAACAGACTTTAAATCAACAAAGATCAAAAGAGACAAAGAAGGCCATTACATAATGGTAAAGGGATCAATTCAACAAGAAGAGCTAACTATCCTCAATATATATGCACCCAATACAGGAGCACCCAGATTCATAAAGCAAGCCCTTAGAGACCTACAAAGAGACTTAGACTCCCACACAATAATAATGGGAGACTTTAACACCCCACTGTCAACATTAGACAGGTCAACGAGACAGAAAGTTAACAAGGATATCCAGGAATTGAACTCAGCTCTGCACCAAGCCGACCTAATAGACATCTACAGAACTGTCCACCCCAAATCAACAGAGTATATATTCTTTTCAGCCCCACACCACACCTATTCCAAAATTGACCACATAATTGGAAGTAAAGCACTCCTCAGCAAATGTAAAAGAACAGAAATTATAACAAACTGTCTCTCAGACCACAGTGCAATCAAACTAGAACTCAGGATTAAGAAACTCACTCAAAACCGCTCAACTACGTGGAAACTGAACAATCTGCTCCTGAATGAGTACTGAATACATAATGAAATGAAGGCAGAAATAAAGATGTTCTTTGAAACCAATGAGAACAAAGACACAACATACCAGAATCTCTGGGACATTCAAAGCAGTGTGTAGAGGGAAATTTATAGCACTAAATGCCCACAAGAGAAAGCAGGAAAGGTCTAAAATTGACACCCTAACATCACAATTAAAAGAACTAGAAAAGCAAGAGCAAACACATTCAAAAGCTAGCAGAAGGCAAGAAATAACTAAGATCAGAGAAGAACTGAAGGAAATAGAGACACAAAAAACCCTTCAAAAAATCAATGAATCCAGGAGCTGGTTTTTTGAAAGGATCAACAAAATTGATAGACAGCTAGCAAGACTAATAAAGAAGAAAAGAGAAAAGAATCAATGCAATAAAAAATGATAAAGGGGATATCACCACCGATCCCACAGAAATACAAACTACCATCAGAGAATACTATAAACCCCTCTACGCAACTAAACTAGAAAATCTAGAAGAAATGGATAAATTCCTCAACACATACACCCTCCCAAGACTAAACCAGGAAGAAGTTGAATCTCTGAATAGTCCAATAACAGGCTCTCAAATTGAGGCAATAATTAATAGCTTACGAACCAAAAAAAGTCCAGGACCAGATGGATTCAGCCAAATTCTACCAGAGGTACAAGGAGGAACTGGTACCATTCCTTCTGAAACTATTCCAATGAATAGAAAAAGGGGGAATCCTCCCTAACTCATTTTATGAGGCCAGCATCATCCTGATACCAAAGCCTGGCAGAGACACAACAAAAAAGAGAATTTTAGACCAATATCCCTGATGAACATCGATGCAAAAATCCTCAATAAAATACTGGCAAACCGAATCCAGCAGCACATCAAAAAGCTTATCCACCATGATCAAGAGGGCTTCATCCCTGGGATGCAAGGCTGGTTCAACATATGAAATTCAATAAAGATAATCCAGCATATAAACAGAACCAATGACAAAAACCACATGAATATCTCAATAGATGCAGAAAAGGCCTTTGACAAAATTCAACAACCTTCATGCTAAAAACTCTCAATAAATTAGGTATTGATGGAACATATCTCAAAATAATAAGAGCTATATATGACAAACCCACAGCCAATATCATACTGAATGGACAAAAACTGGAAGCATTCCCTTTGAAAACTGGCACAAGACAGGGATGCCCTCTCTCACCACTCCTATTCAACATAGTGTTGGAAGTTCTGGCCAGGGCAATTAGGCAGGAGAAGGAAATAAAGGGTATTCAATTAGGAAAAGAGGAAGTCACATTGTCCCTGTTTGCAGATGACATGATTGTACATCTGGAAAACCCCATCGTCTCAGCCCAAAATCTCCTTAAGCTGATAAGCAACTTCAGCAAAGTCTCAGGATACAAAATCAATGTGCAAAAATCACAAGCATTCTTATACACCAATAACAGACAAACAGAGAGTCAAATCATGAGTGAACTCCCATTCTCAATTGCTTCAAAGAGAACTAAAATACCTAGGAATCCAACTTACAAGGGATGTGAAGGACCTCTTCAAGGAGAACTACAAACCACTGCTCAAGGAAATAAAAGAGGATGCAAACAAATGTAAGAACATTCCATGCTCATGGGTAGGAAGAATCAATATCATGAAAATGGCCATACTGCCCAAGGTAATTGATAGATTCAATGCCATCCCCATCAAGCTACCAATGACTTTCTTCACAGAATTGGAAAAAACTACTTTAAAGTTCATACAGCACCAAAAAAGAGCCCGCATCGCCAAGTCAATCCTAAGCCAAAAGAACAAAGCTGGAGGCATCACGCTACCTGACTTCAAACTATACTACAAGGCTACAGTAACCAAAACAACATGGTACTGGTACCAAAACAGAGATATAGATCAATGGAACAGAACAGAGCCCTCAGAAATAACGCCACATATCTACAACTATCTGATCTTTGACAAACCTGACAAAAACAAGCAATGGGGAAAGGATTCCCTATTTAATAAATGGTGCTGGGAAAACTGGCTAGCCATATGTAGAAAGCTGAAACTGGATCCCTTCCTTACACCTTACACAAAAATTAATTCAAGATGGATTAAAGACTTAAACGTTAGACCTAAAACCATAAAAACCCTAGAAGAAAACCTAGGCATTACCATTCAGGGCATAGGCATGGGCAAGGACTTCTTGTCTAAAACACCAAAAGCAATGGCAACAAAAGCCAAAAATAACAAATGAGATCTAAGTAAACTAAAGAGCTTCTGCACAGCAAAAGAATCTACCATCAGATTGAACAGGTAACATACAGAATGGGAGAAAATTTTTGCAATCTACTCATCTGACAAAGGGCTATTATCCAGAATCTACAATGAACTCAAAAAAATTTACAAAAAAAAAAACTCCATCAACAAGTGGGTGAAGGATATGAACAGACACTTCCCAAAAGAAGACATTTATGCAGCCAAAAAACACATGAAAAAATGCTCATCATCACTGGCCATCAGAGAAATGCAAATCAAAACCACAATGAGATACCATCTCACACCAGTTAGAATGGCGATCATTAAAAAGTCAGGCAACAACAGGTGCTGGAGAGGATGTGGAGAAATAGGAACACTTTTACACTGTTGGTGGGACTGTAAACTAGTTCAACCACTGTGGAAGTCAGTGTGGTGATTCCTCAGGCATCTAGAACTAGAAATACCATTTGACCCAGCCATCCCATTACTGGGTATATACCCAAAGGAATATAAATCATGCTGCTATAAAGACATATGCACATGTATGTTTATTGTGGCACTACTCACAATAGCAAAGACTTGGAACCAACCCAAATGTCCAACAATGATAGACTGGATTAAGAAAATGTGGCACATATACACCATGGAATACTATGCAGCCATAAAAAATGATGAGTTCATGTCCTTTGTAGGGACATGGATGAAGCTGGAAACCATCATTCTCAGCAAACTATCGCAAGGACAAAAAACCAAACACCACATGTTCTCACTCATAGGTGGGAATTGAACAATGAGAACACTTGGACACAGGAAGGGGAACATCACACACCGGGGCCTTTTGTGGGGTTGGGGGAGGGGGGAGGGATAGCATTAGGAGATATACCTAATGTTAAATGACGAGTTAATGGGTGCAGCACACCAACATGGCACATGTATACATATGTAACAAACCTGCACATTGTGCACATGTACCCTAAAACTTAAAAGTATAATAAAAAAATAATAGAATAGGGATAATCTCATCAATGACACCATGATAAGATTAATTTTAATTTAGGTTTGCCGTATCTGAAACACTCCTCCAAGGAAACGATCAACAACTAATTTTGTTTTTTTTCCATGCTTCTACTACCTGACCATCCTTGTTTTGATTAACCCTCCCCTTCTTCACACTACTGTTACTATGATGTCTGCCTGGTCCAGAACATTCAACTCTAACTGATTGGGCTTTGCTTTTACATTTTAATAGAAGAAAAGTTGTTATCCATTTTCTAAGTTCTTGGGGAACAGGTTGAACTTCAAGTCCAGAGATATAGTTTAAGCTAATAATCTTTGGCCCCCTCCAAGATCTCTAGAAACTTATTCCCATAATGCCCAAAGATTAATGATACAAGCTTCTAAACAGCCTTTCCTCTACTGAATCCTCCTGAGAAAAAATATCGTGAACTCCCAAAGTTTATGTTGGTCGTCAGTTGTCACTAACTTAGTCTCCTAACCTGCCAGAGCATTTCATCTTGGATCTTTGTGGATTAACTCTTACAATAGGCTTCTCCATATGTCTGCCAATTTCTTTGCTGGGAACTGCTTGCCCCAAGCATCGACATAACTAGTCCCTCCATTCCCCAGAGCACAGCTTACACTAAGCTCTCTCTATTGCAACTTTAGAGGTCACTGGAAAATAACAAAACTAAAATACCAAGAGAAATTACAATTGCTGGGACCTGTCTTGTAGGCTAACTTGGGGACAAGGTGAACCTCTCATTCACCACTTCAAGCCCATCTCCCTCCTTTCCTGCTCTAAGATAAATGATATGAGACTAGCCACTCCACTCAGGGGAAATCACTCATCCCAACCATGGAGATGGTCTTCAGATAGAAAGACACACGTATTTCCAAATGTCTGTCCTATTCTGTCTTAAATTATGTCATTCACATGATGCCAATAGTTCAATGTATTTTGTGCTACATTAAGTCCTGTGCAGTTTTTTGTCAAAATTTCCCTCTAAGGTGAGATCAAAAAGAAGTTCAAATCTTTAGGATTTTTAGGTACTATACTTTTATTTCAATTCTGCCACATTGTTTTTCAGTACAGAGAATATTTAAATACATATTTTTTAAACTTCCCTTGTTGTCACTTTCTTACAGTTGGCAGGCAGGCAGTTTCCCTGACCCTTTCGTTATAAATCTAAAAGTGTTGCTTGGGGTCAGTCCTATACTAGCAAGAAGTCTATGTCCTGATACATGTGACCGTCCCCATCTCTCACTGTCCAAGGATTCTTAGCCATGGCTCTGGAAATGAAGTTTTTTTAGAGGAGTCAAAAGTTATTAGGAAAACTGTAGACATCTGAAATGCCCATATGTTTCAAACACCACTGTCAAAAATGCATGTGGTGTGTGCCTGCAAGACAGAATATAATTTAATCTTTTTTTAAAAGGCAAGGCAAAGAAAATATTTTAATATCATTATACATTACTGGTGGAAAAAAGCCATGATTCCCTGAAATGTTACATACTGTTTTGTGTAAAATGGAGAAATTTACCAGAAAGATACTATAGTAATTTGGAGTCCACATACTCATAGATTCTTCTAATTCTAATTTGTCCTTTCCTGGTAGTCAGCAAGATCCTAATGCTTTGCTTGACTACTCAAAGAGGCGATTTCTTTTCAGTAAATTAAATCAATTTCCATTTGTTCTGGGTCTAGGAAATTTTATTTTCTCTTGTCTTTATTCAATTTTCAATTCATTCTTCCCAGAGCATAAATCAATGCCTTCCTTTGATTTCATGGCAGGTATTCCTATTTCTTTTGCATTATAGTAAAGCCAGAAAATAAATCATTATATTATGCATTATTCCAGGCTTTAAAACTATAGTGGTAAAAGTAATGAACTAATATCAGGGCATTTCTAATGCTATGGAAAATATCAAAAGCTTAATGTCCAAATATATTAATAATTTAGGAGAAATAATTAGATCCCCTTGGATAGGTTTCCCATTTCAGCACCGTATCATGGAGCAGGAATAGTATAAACCGAGTGAAAAAAATGTTATTCCTGTCTTAACTCTCGGAAGAACTTAGGTCATAATGATAATTTTATTAAGACTCTTCTCTTCCTAGCACAATTCTACCTGTCTTGGTTTAGATTTGCAATTATATATAGAGAGAACTAATATAGTTCTCTCTATAATATATAATATATAATTATAATATAGTTCTTTATATATTATAGATAGTATCATATATTATATATTATGGATAGTATCATATATTATATATTATAGATAGTATCATATATTATACATTATAGATAGTATCATATATATTATAGATAGTATCATGTATTATATATTATAGATAGTATCATATATATTATAGATAGTATCATATATATTATAGATAGTATCATATATATTATAGATAGTATATTATAGATAGTATCATATATATTATATATTATAGATAGTATCATATATATTATATATTATAGATAGTATCATATATATTATATATTATAGATAGTATCATATATTATATATTATAGATAGTGTCATATATATTATATATTATAGATAGTATCATATATATTATATATTATATATCATATATTATAGATAGTATCATATATATTATATATTATATATCCTATAATATATATTCTTTATATATTATATATATATCCTATAATATATAATATTCTTTATATATTATATATATCCTATAATATATAATATTCTTTATATATTATATATATTTATGTATATATTTATATATTATATATAAAGAACTATATATTATAGTATAATATATAATATAATTATATATTATAATTATATTATATATATATAAAATATACAGAGACAGAAATTTGTTTTCTCACAATTCTGGGGCTGGAAGTCTGAGATTAAGTTGTCAACAGGACTGGTTTCTTCTGAGGCTTCTCTCCTCGGCTTGAAGATGGCCATCTTCTCTTCCCTTTATCTTTACATGGCCTTCCCTGTGTGCATCTGTGTCCTAATCTTCCTTCTTAAAAGGACACCAATTATATTGTATTGGGGCCCCCCAATACAATATAATTAGCTTAATAATTATACTTTTGTATAAACCCTGTCTCCAAATAAAGCCACATTCTGAAGTCCTAGAGATCAGGACTTCAACATAAGAACTTGGTGGGAGAGGGACACAATTCAGTTCATAACAGGAACAATTATTCCTAAAGAGCACTATGTGTGGCCTGGCAGAGATCATAGAGACATTTTGTCAGGAAACTAAACACTGAGATGAAATTTGTATCTGCCCTAATAAAAGGTAAAATATAAAAAATAAGAATGCATACGTTTAGCCATATGTGTCAAAACAATGGTGGATCAATGAAAACTTTAAACTTTTCCTGTTAAATAGCATTGAGTGGTTCAATTCTTTCTCCAGCCCTGTACTCTCTTACTCCCTTGCATTCCCCTCCATTTTCATGGACATTATGAATACAGGGCTTTGACGTTTCCTTCGTTTATGAAAGGAGTGATTTATTTTTGACCAATTGAATCAATATCCCATCAGTTTCAAGAATTCTCTTATCATTATGTAACTTATCATTTAATCTTTGTAGTGTATACATAATTTTTATTCTTCTTAAAATTATTAACCAATGCAGAAATATTGGATTAAAAAGTAGAATATTCCTAATGTAGATGATGGGTTGATGGGTGCAGCAAACCACCATGGCAAGTGTATACCTACGTAACAAACCTGCACGTTCTGCACCTGTATCCCAGAACTTAGTTATAATAAAACAAACTTTTTAAAATGTAGAACATTTGTTTTAAATCACTATTTACTGTAAAACAACAGAGTTGGAGATTAAATGGATTTTTAAAATCAGAATTCATTTATACCAGTTGATATGCTCATGCAATACTAAAAAAAAAAAAAAAAAAAGAGAGCTATAGCAAATGACATCATGTCAGAACCTTACTCCTATGGGTATTAGGAATTACAGGTTAATCCTGGTGGCAGGGAATAGTGGTGAGAGTGACCCAGAGCCACAATGTCTGGACATGTACTTCCTTAGTTTAAAAGTCACTTTTAATGTCCTCTTAGATGAATTTGTAATTATACAGTTTTTAACTTATACTCTCTTAGAGCAATAAACTCAAGCTGATTTACATTCAATGCTGTCAAATTAATGGAAAGTGTAAAACTACAATTAAAAAATTGCTAAATTCCAACCCATTCAAGTGGAAAGTATATTGCATATTTATATCATATTAAATATCCATACATTTAAGAAAATGTAGTCACTAATGCTCAATAATTCAATTAATTGTCACTCCAGTTTGTGACAAGCTTATCAACTGATATTTTACATTATATGAGGAAAAATATAGATGGCTGATAGTTTCACTTTTATCATCAATTCCAGGTGCTCTTTAAACTCACTCTTTATTGTTCTGAGTTTACTTCTGCAGTTGCCCTTGACTTTTTTTTGTGGTTCTTTTAACTTCAGAAATGTTAAATGGTGAGAAATAAACTTAAGGTCTAAGAAAATCTCCAAGGTGTTTAATTCTGTGGCTTTACCAAAACATGAAAGCCAAGGACAATTATGGCTTAATTCATTTCAATCACTGAGAGGTTTTTTATGTAGTTGTTGATATTAAAAATGTACAGCAATCAAAAATTTTCTTGTGGAACATGCTCCTAAGATGCCAAGATACATTAAAAGAAAGATCATTTCAATAGAACTTTCACTCAAATGACATACAGTGTCAAACTATAAAGAACAGAGATTAAATAAAGTGGACCAAATGGTTCTAAGCTTTCCCAGCTCAGTTATTAGACCTGCTTGAATAAAATAAACATGTCAGATCAAGACATTTGCTTTATCTCAATTTATGTATATGAGCACCTAGCAAACTGATAACAGTTTTTCAGCACTGATTCTCACAAATATTATATTTAAAGCCTTAAGTGTCATTATTTTTTAATATTACATTAAAATTATGTATGCATATGTATAACAGATATATATACACACATGTATATTTATATTCCTAAGTAATTTATAGTCATGACACATGTAAGAAACCACAAATGCAAATGCTGGATCATATGTAAAATGTAAAGAATTGTGTAACATCTCATTTTATGTGGCTTGTTTTTGTAAAACAAAAAATACAATATTTTCTGAGAGCACATATTTCCTTGAACCCTATCAGCACCCAGAATATTGTTGCTCACGTATTAGATACTCAATAGATGTTTGTTTATTTAATTTAGTTTGAACTGGATAGACAGATATACACTTTGTTAATGACAGGAATTTTTTTCCTCCCTCTTAAATTGTTTTTGGTTTAACAAAAATAACACTTGGATAAGGACCAACAAAACAAAACAACAACAACAACAAAAGCAAGAAATGGCTTTTATCTCTTATGTTTTATAAAAGGAGAATGCTGACCTAAATTCTTTTGGTCCTTTTAATAGAAGTAAAAAAGACTGAAGACTATAGTTGTATTTTTTTAGCTTTCTCATAAAAAAGAATTACAATATAAAGTGCTATGTAATTACTGACTATATTATGTGCAAGGCATTGTTCAAGGTATTTACAAACAAAAACACATAAAAGGTTGAAAGAAAATGGATTATATAATATATACAAAAAGCATTCTATTAAAAATTGTGTGTCATATAACACACATTAATTTATTATAACACACTTAATTTATTAGAAGATAGACATCAGGATCTTTCTTTAAAATATTAATAGTGGAAGGCCTAGCCAGAGTAATCAGGGAAGAGAAAGAAATAAAAGGCATCCAGAAGTAGTCAAACGATCTCTCTTTGCTGACAACATGATTTTATACATAGAAAACCCTGAAGACTGTGCCAAAAGGTTCCTGGAACTGATACACAGTTTCAGTAAAGTTTCAGGATACAAAATCAATGTACAAAAATCAGTAGCATTTCTATACACCAATAACGTCCAAGCTGAGTGACAAATCAAGAACACAATCCCATTTACAATTAACCACAAAATAAATAAAATCCCGAGGAATACATCTAACCAAGGATGAAAAAGATTTCGATAAGGAGAACTACAAAACACTACTATGAAATAAATCATAGATGGCACACACACACACACACAAAAAGGAAAAACATTCCACATTCATGGATTGGAAGAATCAATATCGTTAAAATGGTCATACTGTCCAAAGCAATCTACAGATTCAATGCTATCACTATAAAACTACGCACATCGGCCGGGCGCGGTGGCTCACGCCTGTAATCCCAACACTTTGGGTGGCCGAGATGGACGGATCACGATGTCAGGAGATCAAGACCATCCTGGCTAACATGGTGAAACCCCGTCTCTACTAAAAAATAAAAAAAATTAGCCAGGCATGGTGGCGGGCGCCTATAGTCCCAGCTACTCAGGAGGCTGAGGCAGGAGAATGGCGTGAACCCGGGAGGCGGAGCTTGCAGTGAGCAGAGATTGCGCCACTGCACTCCAGCCTACGTGACAGAGCCAGACTCTGTCTCAAAAAAAAAAAAAAAAAAAAAAAAAAAAAAAAACTACGCAGATCATTTTTCACAGAACGAGAGAAAACTATTCTAATATTAATATGGAGCCAAAAAAAGAGCTTGTATAGCCAAAGCAATCTGAAGCAAAAAGAAGAAAGCTGGAGGCATCACACTGACTTCAAACTATATTACAAGAATACGGTAACCAAAAGAGCATGGTACTAATACAAAAACAGAAATATAGACACATATCAAAGTTTTTAACAATCTGGTCAACAGCCCTGGATATCTTTGTACTAATATATATTAGTCATATTAGATAAGGAAGAATTATAATTTTATCCTTGTAGCTCTTAAAATTACAGATAGATTGTGAATTATGATGTGGTCATAATGTCTTTGCTATAGGTTTTCTGCAATCTCTAAAACTCTTTGTTTATATTAACTTGGTAATTATTTGAATAAGTAGGATTAAGATGTTATTATTTTGAAATCTCAGGTTATAGTATAAAAACCCTCTCCCATTCTGGTCAATCACTTAAAAGATTTTTGGGTATTCCCACTGTCCAGATACACAATAATTTAAGATACACAATAATTTAAGATTTTGCCACAACCAAACTTGAAACTGCATTACAAGTTGCATATGAATCTGAGGAGTCACTTATTTGTGATTCTAACTGATACTTGAATTCTAACTGATGGTTAAAATTAACATTCTCTGAACAGGTTCAAATTTTAATACCTTTTCTTAAGAAAGAGAACCAAGAAGGCTATGCTATAAAAAATGTGGCTTTTTTAAATAAAGAAAAAATAGTGGTTTTTTTATTCCATTAATCCCTGAATCTGAATAGATGGATATTCCTTTTCAACCAGGTACGTGCACATATACCTTATCTATATATAAGATAATAGAGGAGACAAATAAATAGAGAAAGAGATTAATGCAATCTGGAGTTAGACTTCTACTGCAAGAGGTGATAATCAAATGGCATTCATCATTATTTAACAATCTTACGTACTTAGGATAAATACTTGCTGCTACAGCTTAGAGACAAGGACATCAACCAGAATTCTATTCCTTCCATTTGTCGATTCATCTCCTCTATTGCCTCCTTATCTCACTCATTCTCCCATGCCAAAGCAGGATTATTAGTAGATCTTTGGGTTTGGCTAACCAATTTAGTGTCAGGATGAATGGAGAATAACATTTGTTCCAAAGTGTACTGGGACAAAGAAAAAAATGATAAGATTAACTAGCTATGACAATGTAACATATGTATTCTTTCTTCCTAATTAAAGACAAATGTTGAACTGGAAATTAAAAAGCAACATATTCTGAGTAAATGTGATGCTTAAGTTACTCTAGTTTAATTTTTTACCTCCCTCTTTCTGAAAAAAAAAAAATTTTTTTCAGAGCAGGGAGTGACAAAGATGGTTCATAGCAGGGTGAGTAGTTGGGAGGTTGTAGAAAGATGATCTATTCCAAACATAACAGATGACATGGTGTTGGAAGAATGTGACTATCAGGGCTACCTGTGATGATGACAGGACTTTCTATGCATACTTTATTCATGTCAACAGAACCAGGAGTTGACCCTTAAATATTCTTTTCAATTTCAATAAGAACTTCAGATTAATTCAGAACAGGTTCAACTGGAGTCCAACCATAGTTAGTAACAGTGAAGTACTCAGTCTGTGGCAAGAAATGATGTCCAATACTCTTCTAAATATTGGTGATTTCATATGAAAAAGAAAAATAATGAAAGTCTAACATACAAGATAAAAGTTTTCTCTTTACTATTGGTCTTTCTATGTGCATAGTCATGATGACATAATTCCTTTCCCTATGGTCTTATTTATCTAAAAATGCAGTTCCTGGAACTTGGAAAGCACCTTAGAAGAGTGGGGAAGAGGATGTCATTGAATAATGTTACTTCCTAAATCACAAATCTCTATGTTAGGATTATATCATAGAAGTCTACCTGAAACTACATTGTGAAGGAGAAATACTCTATCTTGGGCTCCATCTCACTCTCTGTTCTTTACTTCTAGTTCACAATTTGCTTTCCATGCCACAGAAGATCCAGGGAGTTTGCTATTCCTTCCTAGAATAACTAACTATAACAGAATCCCCAGTGTCAGGTCTTCCTTGGGACATCACCTTTCCAGAGAGCAGGTCTTCTGTTCCAGGTCAGGAGGGCAAACAATCTGAACATGTGAAAGATTTTCACGTAGTAAGAGGGAGATTTCATGAAATAATAGTATGTTGGCAACCATAAGCTCTAGCCAGGCTATATATGAGTAGGACAAATAAATAATGCAAAATTCCTCTCCCTAAAGGGTTAATTAACGTTTGGTAAAATTCAGATCAGACTTAGGCACGTCTTTCTAAACAGCTTACACATTCATCTCAGTTTCAATTTTACTTACCCTAAATGCAAATCAAGTCAAATCAAAACATTTACTTTGAGAAAGTGAGAAACATATGCCAGTTCATGGTCTCTATGTATACTTGGTATAGATTCATGCTACCCAAGAACCTCAACATGCATTTTAAACTCAGTGCTCTTTTGGCCAATTATATTCCCAAAAGTTTGTCATAATCAACTGAAGTGAAGCAAAGTGATTTTTCCTCTAGGGAGTCACTAATTAGAATAGAAATATTGGTGATTCAGGCCACTCTTTAAAGTCCAGAGAGTGCTCTGGTTTCGGCATTAGGCACTAATTCAGTTTGTTTGACTGTTAGAGTTGATCCTCCAGGCATAAAAGGATGTTTAGTCATCAAACAAACAGGATTACTGTATCTTGGACTTCTGCCACTGGAAACCATTAGTGGGGTGTGTCATGGGAGAAGGAGATGGAGATACAGATGGGGAAAGTTGGGTTCCTATCCTACAGAGACCCATTTCAATGAAATAAATTTATACTTACTAAAAGACTTTAAATGCCAGTCCCTCTCTTTGTTCCCAGTCCATTCCATATAATCTTGGATTGTAAAGAATTGAAAGGAGCTTTAGGTTTTAAGCAACTTGCCATCTTGGGCAAAAAAAAAAAAAAAAAAATCTCTAGAAAATAATTATGACAAATGGTTATCACAGACTCAAATGTAAAAATACATCTTATATTCAGTGGAAATTTGCTTTCTGTATATTTTATCTCTTGGAGATATTTTACCCACTGGAGCAATGAAGATCAATAAATCAAATCCCAATTTCTTTTTGACAAACCTGGCAGACAATCTAAAACAATTATATCCTCTAAATTCGCTCTTTCTAAGATTAACAAGCACAGCTTTGTTATTTCCAATTCTTTTCATGAGCCACATAACGTAACCTCACATATCTGTGGAACAGATTGTACTTGGAAATTCAGTTTCCTGAAGAAGTACTCTGAAGCCTTGTGACTTATGAGGTTATGAAGGAGATTATATTGGGGTTTGAACCATTGCTTATTGGGTTCAAAGTCAACTGCCCTAACACTATTCCACAGTCTCCTCAACACATATGACCACCTCATTAAAGATGACTCCTTCCCCAAACTATATCAGCCAAAAGCAAAATTAAGACTTATCTATGAGTGGGTTTTCTTATAAAAGAAAAGAAGGCTGCCAAAATAGATAATCTGTGAATAATTCAGGCACTGAAATTCCTCATGCAGTTTCATTGCCCCACATGTCACAATCTTCTCTCTGGTCCCTCAATGTGTTTTCATTTTAATATATCCTTGATGGTGGCTGCACCCTAAAGCCCTGTTCACTTGAAGTGGTAATTATATGGTTTTTCGAAGTTTAAACTAGAATGCATGCAGAGAAATACTGAGTTATAAAGAAATACTGAGTTATAAAGGTGTTGCATGTTGTTGCTAGATATGAATTTGCAGGAATGGTAATGGCAAGAGTGTTGTTACATCATCAAATTAAATAGTTAAAACTATTTCCCCCATACATACACGCCCCCCCCCAGCTTTATGGCCAATAATTATAACAATGCACTTAGATGCAAGCATGGATATTATTAAATAATGCCTTAAATTCAAAGTGGCCTCATCAGCCACCCGAGGCAAAGCATAATTGCCCTGTTTTTGTGAATACCAGAGAGCAGACAATGTTGCTGAATGTTATTACTTAAGCATTTTAATTTTTCACTGGGTGAGGAAATTAAATTCCAGCTCTAAAAAGTGATGTGTCTGGTCAGGGAAGGGGTTGCTGTGTGGAGGAGACCTGGGCGCATAGTTGGAAAGGGTGAGGTTTGCATTGAGAAGACATGCATTTTTCCTCTCTTGTAACACACAGGGAAGAGAATCTTTTTAGCCCCTGTCTTCTAAGGAAAGCAAAGCTCACTCTTCTCAGTTCACTGAAGACATAACTATAACAAAAAATTTTCTGACAATCTGTCAAGCTTTTAATTTTTTTTTTTTTTTTTTTTAGACGGAGTCTCACTTTGTTGCCAGGCTGGAGTGTAGTGGTGCGATCTTGGCTCACTGCAACCTCTGCCTCCTGGATTCAAGCGATTCTCCTGCCTCAGCCTCCCGAGTAGCTGGGACTACAGGCACATGCCACCATGCCTGGCTAATTTTTGTATTTTTAGTAGAGATGGAGTTTCACCATGTTGGCCGGGATGGTCTAGATCTCTTGACCACAGGTGATCTGCCCGCCTTGGCCTCCCAGAGTGCTGGGATTACAGGTGTGAGCCACCGCGCCCAGCCTTGTTTTAATTTTGATAGCAGAAACTATCCCTCTTCACTAGAAGGCAGAGGCCATGAGGCATTTAGTATTATCACAAGCCACCGAGATAGATTCTCCTTGGCCCATGGTGCATCTTTATACTGCTCTTGCTGATACAAGCAGCCATGCCAGATGTGTGACCTCGCTAGGCTGACAGAGTATGTATCTATCTGTTGGAAGAGACTCAAGACTGCAAGGGAATGAGCTGTGTCTCTTGCAGTCTGGTCCCTCTTGGAGTAGAAACCAATTGCTCTATTAGGGACTAGTAGCAGGTCACACAGAATAAGCATTACATTTCCCTGTTCATCTCACACTTTATAAGCCTTTCATTATGTTGAGTTCATCCAATGGCATTGCTGGAGTTCAGTTTCTTTGTTGGTTGTTTTTTGAGTGTTTTGTTTTGGCAAACCTCAGAATCATTTTCATTAAACTTTGCTTTGGTTCACTGTCCTCATGTTGAAGGCCAGATTTGTTAACATGGCTTATGAAGCCCTTTATGATCTAGTTACCAGCATACCTCTGTAATCTCACCTTTCCTTCGTTCTTCATGCCCTCTGTGCACTGTGCAAACTTTCAGTTCTCAGAATGGCCATTACTTTCTCCCTTCAGGGTCTTTGCAGTCTTTACCCCTATGCTTAGAAGACGCTTCTCATTACTTCTCATTACTTCTCCAATCATAGGACTCACTTGCCTATCTTTTCATAGCTCCACTAGGCTGCAAGCACCATGAGGGTCGGGAGGGTGTCTCTCCTTCACCATTGCTTCCTTAACACCCAGCACTCATTATATATGCCACCAACAACTGTTGAATAAATGGGTCATGGGAAATTATTAGCCATTATTGTCATAATCATTAAACATTAAAATAAAAAGTCAAAAGAAACTTCATATCACATCTATGACCAGGAGGTTTTAAAGACTTAATCCAATCTACCTGCTTGTGGGTCCATGGTGGAAATTCCTTTCAGTTCTCACTTCCAGAAAATATTTCAGAATCGAGAAACTGGTTTGCTTTATTTATTTATTCATGCATTTTTAATTTATTTATTTATATGAACTAACAAAATATGTTTTGTTCTTTTTGCTGGCTGCTGTGAAGCACAGATCGAAATTTGAGGCTGTATTTGGTTCACTGATGTAACTCCTGGGTACATCATATTTTACTTTAATTCTCTTTTTTTTTGTCTTGGTTCTGAATGTCTGAAAGTTGCTTCATAGGATCCCTCATCTTTATTTTTATTTGGCATATTTTTGCAGAATGAGACAAAACATAAAATTGTTAAATGAATTCATTTTCATTTTCAAAGTTTTCAGAATTTTATGTTATTGGAAATCGGGCTCGAAATACGTTTTTCCCAATTATGCTATGAAAATTTAAAGAATTCCTTTTTACAAATGGATAAACAAAGGCAGAGACAGAAAGGAATTTTTTTTTTTTAGTTGTACAAAAAGCCACTACTCTTACCTGAATGAAACAAGCAGTTTTTCAACTCAATGCTGGAGTCCCATTTAAAAATATATTTTATGCCTTACACGAGAAACTATTAGACTGAAAATTCAGACTGAGCTATTTGGTCTGAAAATTCAGACTGAGGTACATGTTATTGCCAGAAAAGTTCTAAGTAATGGGTTTGGGTTAACAGCTGCCGTTTTCCTAAAGAGGTGTTAAATGGTTCTAGAAATAATCATTTCTCTAATCCTCCTATTGTATAGCTGATTTTTGCTAATTGATTTGAGCCTGTTTTAGTCAAATATAAGCTCAGAAATATTCCATTTGTAACCATGTTTATTCCGCCTCAAAGAGCTCAGGGAAGATAAACCTTAAAACATGCACTGCTGTGGGACCATCTCTTGCCACAGTTTATAGCCTGTGGTTTGAATGGATATTATGAGGGTCTGATCGAAAGTGAAGAAAAGGAAAAACATACAGCAAATTATCTTTAAGCTACTTTTTAAAATTTTATTAGTTCAATACCTCCATTTAAAAAGTATGAATTTTAACTGTTCTTTCATTATCTTATTTTGAACTGCGCCACGTGACTAGTGAGGTATCATGATCATTTCATAGCTAGTAAAATGACCTCACAGTTTTTTCTTAGTAAATAAAAATGCTCATGGAGCTTTTACTGAAAATTTTGAGAAATAAAACAGTTAAGGAAGCCAAAGATCCTAACTCCGTGGATGTTAAATCTTAACTGATCAAATCTGGTTTTTCCAAACATTTGAACTAACAATACTGATATTTTCTGTGAAAACTGATTTAAAAAGCAATGCTATGGTTATTTTTTGTTTCTTTTCTGTTCTGTTCTTAGTCTCTACATCTAATTGAATTGTGATATGTAAAAATATAACTGACCACCTAGGACTGTGTTTTGATTGTGAAAGGCATTCAATGTAGCATACTTGATCAAAACATCCTGTGGTAGAGACTGCCATGAATTCCCATGTCTGGTTCTATACTCCTTAACAAGCACAACCAGTGACCCTGACCGTTGAACTAGATGCAGAGACTGGATGCCTTTACATTGGGTCACTTGGAGAGAGGTCAGTCCATTACGCATATGGAAAGGAGAGTGCATTTAATTAATACATGGTGACAAGGGGGGATAACTAGGTAGAGACTGGCCAAGGTAGGGTCTAGCAGGTCTTTATGACTAGTTTTAGCCAAATAAAGGACACCAGCAGTGACATATAATTTTGGTCCAAGGCAATGAAGAGCTCACCTGCTGCCTCCAGGGCTGCTTAACATGCTGCAACCAGGCTGAATGGTGCATATTGGACTGGAACCTGGATCCTTGAGTAAATGAAAGGAGAAAAGCCCCTATCCAGTATATCAGATTTGTGTAAACCAAAAAATAAACTTTCAATATGGTAAGTCTCCGAGATTTAATTGTTATCTAAATTAATATATCACCAGTAAACCACATTGTGGTCCAGCCTTTTCAGTTTTGTAAACACAAACTCAGTTCTGCCAACTCAACTGTGTTCTAGTTTATTTTCACACCTTCTCTTTGGAAATAATAAAATGAATTAATATTCTACCTATCTTTCTTGGGTACATGAATATCAATCAATCCAAAAGAACTTCATTGCTAATTCTTTGAAGAATAGTTCAAATGAACTCTAAAGTATCTTTAAATGGTAAGATTTTATAACGTTTGGGTACAATGTAATTAATTTCCATGAAGATTTTTGATGAGATTTAAAGAGTGTCTTAAAGATAACAAAATAGAAATCTGAGAAACCAACAATTAGTTCAAAGATTGCTTTGGGAAGACTCAATTAAAGAATATAGCAAATATTTAGAATTTTTTAAAAATGGAACTATATGGTGAAACTGCTTCTAAACATTGGTGTTAGTCTAAGGATGAGCATGGTTATTGTCACATTTTTATTGGTGTAATTTGAAACAAACAATAAAAAATAGATTGGGTAAAGGTAATTATGACAATAAATAAAATTTTATCTTTGAATATACATAAAAATTAGCTGACATTTATTTATTTTGACATCTACAGTTATTTACTGAACTACTTACACCAACTCACAATGCGAGGTGCTGAAAATAGAGTTGAAAAAGATAAGACTCGTGCCCTCAAGGATTTCACTGTTACTATGGGGAACAGATTAGAAAAACACATGATAGCAATACAGACTAAAAGAGATGCTATGAGTACATTCAATAAGCTAGGGAACCATGGGGTAGGAGTCGGGGGAAATATGAGCTAGGCAGGGAAGGTTTTTATAATAGTGGTGTGTATTTTGAGTCTGCAAGAGATATATAAACAAATCGTTCTACATTAGAATTTCTCTTTGAAGTAATGAAAATAACCAAATTAAACAATTTTCTATGAACTAGATAATTACTTCTAATAAAGGAAAGGCTAGGATCATAAGAGAGGGAGAAAATGCAAAATTGATGAGCAATGCAATAAAATAATGTAGGAATATAGAAGGATTCTTACAAAATCTTTCACTTGACAGCATGTCGGGAAACACAAGGTCATCTTTAACAGGTAACACATAAGAAAAAGATAAATTACATACAGTGGATCTCTTACTAATTACAGACACATGGTTATTTATCTGTAAATAAATACAAAGTCATTTTTTTCATAAGTCCACTTCCCAGAGCCCTACAAGTCTGAAAAAATAGACTCCTCTTTTTAATGAAATATTTAATTTTAACTATGAAAAGCTAGACTATAATGTCAAATGTTTTCTATATAAAATCGCTATTGAGGAAACCAAGCATGGAAAAGGAAAGGAATTTTTTTAAAATGTCTCTAATAATAGTTAAATAGGATAAGGGGAAGGAAGAGAGAAAAGTAATGGTAAAATTTAAGTTGATGTTTTAAGGAAAGAGATCATGAAGCCTTGGCCAAAATTGGACAGAAGAGCATTGATTTGCTTTTTAGAAGCTCACACATGTTGAAATAGGTGCTTAGCTTATGTAGTAAACACTAATTCTGGCAAGTTTATTTTGTAGGTAACTAAACTGGAATAACGCATATGACGGGGGAGAGTTCCCTGACCCTCTTGCGAGTCTTGCCACAGGGAGGGTGTGGAGGGTTGGTGGTAGCTTGTTTTGCTTTGTTGCTGAACTCAAGCCCCTTGCAGGAGTGGGAGCATGCAGGTAAGTGGGTATGGGAACCAGGGCTAGTGCCTTTGGGCGCCAGGGGCAGCATCTAGCAGTTGCGCACAACCTCTGGAGCCCCAGAGGGCATGTGTTACAATTAATGCTCTTTTAGCAGTTGCTGTCCACAGAGGGCTAAGTGTTAAACAGTCCCGTGGAGAATCAGGGTGACATATACCCTGCCCTCTTGGAACCTGGATTTTTGTCCAGAGTACAAGAAGAATCAGGTCACATGGACTTGAAGGATGGTGAATGCAGAGGTTTTACTGAATGATGGAGGTGGCTCTTTGTGGGTTGGGGGGCTGGAAAGGGGATGGAGTGGGAAGATGATCTTCCCCTGGAGCTCAGCTGTCCCCAGCCAAACTCCTCTCTGACTGTCCAGCTCCCTCTTTGACATTCAGACACTTCTATTCTTTCCTTCTCTGCTGTGCCACTCTATTCCTCTGCCAGTGGAGTTTGGGGTTTTTATAGGTACAGGATAGGGGACATGGTGGGCCACGGTGGTTTTGGAAAAAGCAGCCTTTGGGCAGGAAAGCAGCAATGCCTGTTCTCATTCAGGGCCACGGGTCCAGGCTTAAGGGTGGAGCTCTCATCAGGGACTCTGCCCTCCTGTCTCCTCTCGGTATCACATACAATGTGGACTGCATGTAACATTCCTTCCCAATCGCTTTAATTTTATAAGTAACCTCAGGAGGTAGTAGCCTCACCACCATTAGTCGATGAAGGCAGAATGTCAGAAAAGAAAAAAGAGCAGCTTTATAATGAGGAATGGATATAATTATAGTTATTATTACAGAGAAAATGAGGCAGAACATGTTTAAAAGATAAAAATATGATCAAAGATCAATTTAAAATACATTCTCATCTTGCTGTAAATACCACAAAATATACCTCTGAAAAATTTTGATCACATATTTAGATTGGCCCATTTAATATTTTAGAAAGTCCTAATCCATTCCTGCCCACAAAACACTCAAAATAGAGACCCAAATTTATCTCACGTAATCATCATACACATAGATGTTAACATTTATGTCTCATTTTTCTTTTCTGTAAAATTGGAATAATAAGCCACTTGTCCATTTCACATAGTTAGTAGTTCACTAGGATTTCAATTCTGATGTCTTTCCATGTTGCTGGAAAATTTTCCCTTATTGTATAAGGTTTAACAAAAATTCCTTCCCACTTCTTTAGCCTTTTTCAACCCTTCAGAACAAAATACATTTCAGTTCAATAAAATGGGTTTTCAAAAAGTATACTTACAAGCAAAGGTTAGGGTGGTACAAAATCAAGCATGGTTACAGCCTCCCACCTCCAACCTGTTTCCTCAATGGAAAGTATTTTGATATCTTCATCTAATAAATCCGCCTTGCCTATAGGGGATAAATGTGCAAGTCTCCCATGAGTTATTATTATTATTATTTGTAGAAGAGTCTTGCTCTGTTGCCTATGCTGGAGCGCAGTGGTGCAATCTTGGCTCACTTCAGCCTCTGCCTCCCAGGTTCAACCGACTCTCCCGCCTCCCGAGTAGCTGGGACGACAGGTGCGCACCACCACGCCCGGCTAATTTTTGTATTTTTAGTAGATATGAAGTTTCACCATGTTGCCCAGGGTGGTCTTGAATTCCTGGCCTCAAGTGATCCACCTGCCTCAGCTTTACAAAGTGTTGGGATTATAGGGGTGAGCCACTATACCTCATGAGTTATCTTGTGTACAAAACAGTCTGGAAAACATTCTAGTTGAGAGGCAGCACTCTTCTCTACCAGAAACATTTAAAGTATCTTTATTAAAAAAAAAATAAAAAGATACCAGGGCCAAAGTCCATCAATGTGACCAAACAGGCCTGAATTCATCCTTTTGATTGGCCTGACTCCTTATGTTTCTTTGGCCCTACCACCATATGACCTGACCCAATTGAACAACATTGGTCTTGCTATCAAAAAAAGTGGGAAAGTGGATCCTGGTAAAGTGAAAGAGTCTGTAACTGAGTCAACCACAGAATGAAGTTCTTGAAGTTGTGGTTACTCAGACCTTAGTGACATTGAAGATATTGCCAAAATCTTCTAATTATCCCCAAAGCACTTAGGTCTCTTAGGCTCTATTATCATGTTACACCGTGCCTCCTACAGTCCCCTTTTTTTGCACAGTGCTTTTGCTTAGATTTTTATTAGCCCTTTGTCACAAGAGTCCTGTAAGATGTACCAGCCATCATCGCTCTATTGTTACAAGGCAGGGAGGTAAAAGAGACATGGATACATTAAACAATTTGCCCCTGGGCTCCAAGTCTTTGCTAGCCTGTTACGCACAATGTCACTGCAATCGGCTGGGGGTGGAGGTTGCTGAACCTTGTTCCAGCGTGCTGGCAGTCATTTTTCTGGATTACATATCTGTGTTCAGGGCAAATGAGCACGTGTAACATGAACAAGGTTTCGTTAGGCCATTCTTCTACTGCAAGTCAGTTAGAAGGATAGATGCCAAAATCTCCACATCTTTGAGACACGGGACTGGTCTCTGACTTCCCATGGCTGATTTTAAGTCTCTTAAAGTTAGTGGAGAAAAACAAGTGCAGAAGATTCCTGTGGGTCTGGAAAGCATTAGTGGTAAATCTTGAGTATAAAGCTCATATACACCACTTTCCCTTAATGAACATCTAATCCAGCAATACAACACAGTCCCGGTTGTCAGGACTACACATCTGCTATCCACATCCCGGCAGGGGTTCCAGTTTTCTTGGAAGAGGACTCCAAGTCCCTGCAATATCCATTATGCCCTTGAAATCATGCATGGGCATTTGGAGTAAATATAGCCAACATACTTGGCTGAATGCAAACTGATCAGGACTTTTCACTATCCCTGAAATGCTTGAAAATAAATGTAAAAAATAAGTATGCCAAAATATGTATATTGATGCCTCTTCTTTATTTTCGGTAAATATTTAGCACTAATTGTAGTGAAGGTGCTAAGGTAAGTAATGAAAATGTAAAGTGTTTGAGGTAAACAAAGCGTTTTAATATAAGAGGAATCCTAATAGGAAAACAGATATATAAAACAGAATCAATAGGAGCCTGGGTAATCCCAGATGGTGTAATTTCCAGTCCAAGAGCAGAAGACCAATGTTCCAACTCAAGTAGGCAGGCAGAAATGAAAACAGGCAAATTCCTCCTTCTGCCACCTATGTTAGATGCTGTTCACCTACACTGGCGAGGCAACCTACTTTATTGGGTCAATTGATTCAAATGTGAATCTCTTCTGGAAACACCCCCCAAGACATACCCAAAAATAATGTTTAATCTGGGCACCCTATGATGCAGTCAGGTTGACAGATAAAAGTAACCATCACAAGCACATAATCTAGAAGTATTTCATACACAGGAATACCTCTATAGGCACACACGTAGTTCTTTCTTACACCAGTTCTGCAAAACCCAGGACAAGAAGACTCGTCAATCACCAGGTCCTGGTATTCATGCTTTTGTGTAGTTTCCTCCCACACTGAATTAAGCTGACCTGTGTAACTCACAAGACATTGCAGGAATGACGGTGTGTGTGCTCAGGCTGAACATAAAAGACTCTGAGACTTCTGCCTTGCCCTCTTGTAGCACTCTCCAGGAAAAGCTGCCTGCTAGATAACATGAAGACACGCCAGCAGCCTCATGGGGGTGGAGGGAAGAGAGGCCTCATGGTGAGGGACTGAGGCCTCCTACTAAAAGCCAGCACTAACTTGTCAGGCATGAAAGTGAGCCACCTGGAAGCACATCTTCAGCCCCTGTGGACCCTTTAGATGACTGCAGGCCCTGCTGACATCTTGACTGAAACCTCATGAGACAGCTAGAACCAGAATCGCCCAGGTAAGCTCCTCCTGGATTTCTGACCCATAGAGACTGTATGAGACAGTTTCAATAAATATATTAGGCCTCTATGTCACTGAGTAATTTATTATGCAATGATTAATAGATAACGAATACAACTTCTATATTATAAATCAACATTATCCACATTGTACTTAAGTCAAGAATAAGGCATAATCTTTGAATTGCTGTCATATGATTTGTGGTAAACTTAGTGAAGGGACACCTTATCTAAATCCCCTCATCACCAGAAATTCAAACTGATAAGATGGCTGGTCAGAAAGGTACAGTCTGCAGCCATACAGGGAGAAGCTTTCTGTCTGTTTGAATATTTAAGTCTACCTTAATTGTGCTCTAACCTATTCAAAGAGTCTGGAGTACTGGTGTGATTTTTAAAAAATATTTGTTACTAATAGCTATGTTAGAATTTATAAAAGTACTAACTTAGAGATGATTTAATGTTATTCCTATAACATAATTCATATTCATTATGAGTAGGAGGAAAAAAGGAGAATTTACTGCAAGTGCTCAGGGAAAAGATGAGCATTCCCAGGTGTCCTCATGAGGAGTGTGCTATCCTAGCAAATACCATACATCCTGTGTGTCTCCATGCAAAAACAATCTGAAGCTAATCCACTCATAAAAATAGCAGATGAGTTACACCATTGAGTTAGTATTTTGTAAGGAGTCTCTGACAACTTCATAAAGGAGGTGAGGTTTTCTCGTGTGTTTACAAGAGACAAGTTTGATTGCAAAACAGGCAGAAAGGTGGCCTTGAAATCTCAGATAATCTATGCAATGCTCAGAGGTGGAACAGGGAGACCAGGTAGAATGTGGGTGAGTTGGTTAAGAGGGTGAGATGAGGATGTATACATGTAAGTAAAATAAAATGAATCATTCAAGACATGGTGGAATTAAGTGGAACTGAAAAACTTAGGCTGGAGAAGGAAAGTGGAGACAGACGTGTGATCACATCGTGTCTAATTGTATTTAAATGCAGAGAGAAGAACATCAAAGGTGCGGGTTTAGGGCCCAGAAAGCCACTGGCCCCTTAATATCCAGAAAAGGACAAAAACTCACGGGAGTCAAGCACTGTTTGCCTGGAAGAAGAAAGATAAAGACACAGACAAGCCCTGCTCCCCCACCAGCCAAAACTACTATTCTACCTGTTTCCTGATTCTGACCCACGTATATTCACTTGTTTCATCATTTTCTCATTCAAAAATATATTCATTCAATTAATAATGATTTACTGAGTGTGTATTATGTAGCCAGTGCTTGCATGGAACTCAGATTACAGCTGGAAATGAAACAGATCTGGTCTTACACCCTCTGTACATCTTCTTCCTCCTGTTACCACTCTATCCTGTCTTCAACCTCAACTTCACTACTAATTTCATACTTAATCATATCTTAACAGCTCTCAATAAAAATGTAAAAACATAGACAAAATTATTCCTTACTCAATATTTCTGGCAACGGCTACTGCTGTTCTCTTCTCTCTCTCCATTATCTGAAAAGAGGAATAATACAATCACCTCCTCTTAATCCCTCAATCCTTAGCACTCTGATTCTATTCCCACCTCTGCAGGGAAACCACAGTGGACTTCTTTATGAGGTCATTTATGAATTCCTTCTGAGTGCTCTATGACATTTAAAGCAGTTTTCCACAACTGCTTCCATTGTCACCTGGGACCTCATTATCTCTTGTTTTTCCTAATTCCTCAGTGCTTCTTTTTTGGCATCAAATGACATTATCCACCCAATGTTTTGCCTACGGTTTCACTCTATGCCCTATTTCATGTCCACTGCATGTAAGTAAACTCCTCTGAAGACACCTTTTCAACTACAATTCTGAATAATTCATCTTTTCAGTAAATTTTTCCTGAGTGCTCCCTGTGGTTCAGGCACAGTTCTAGATGGTGGAAATAAAGCAAAGTTCTCACCCTCGTGAAGTTTATTTCTAGTCAGGGAAGACATGAAATAAAGAATGTGTCAAGAGATCATACATGCTATGATAAAGCACTGCACAATCTCAACCTCTCAAATTTTTCTTCTCTCTCTTATGCCCAAATCTTGTCTTCCCCACTACCCTAAACATTTCTCTGAATATGTGAATTCAACATATTCCAAACTGAGTTCATCATGAATTCCCCTCTACTTGCCACCCCCTTAGGTCTCTATCAGTTCTCATTCTCAGCGACTTGAACCATGATGTACCCAGTGGCTTCAACTTTGATACATTTTCTGTATTGCCAGTGGTATCATTTTTTTCTAAAATGTAATAGTTGTGTCTTTGCCTTACCCAAATTCTCCTAGCAGTTCTCCATCCAGGGTCAAGCCCAAACTCTTTAGGATACCAGAGAAAGCCTTCCTGCCTCTTGTCCCTTCTATGTCCTTCAGGATACACTTTCTTGCTTTCACCTCTTGGCTCAAGCTCTTTCTTTTGCTAATCATGGCCCCTCTCACTCAACCACACCTCCATTTAGCTAACTCCAACTCAGGCATTTTTCAAGGTGACAAAGTAACATCTTCTTGGAAATATGTAGCATTCTTTGCCTTTCTACTTGAGATTCGCATCTCCAATCAATGTATCTTTTTTTTTTTTTTTTTTTTTTTTTTTGAGATGGAGTCTCGCTCTGTCACCAGGCTGGAATGCAGTGGCACCATCTCAGCTCACTGCAACCTCTCCCTCCTGGGTTCAAGTGATTCTCCTGCCTCAGCCTCCTGAGTAGCTGGGACTACAGGCACACACCACCATGCCCAGCTAATTTTTGTATTTTTAGTAGAGACGCGGTTTCACCATGTTGGCCAGGATGGTCTGGATTTCTTGACCTCGTGATCCAGTCACCTCGGCCTCCCAAAGTGCTGGGATTACAGGCATGAGCCACGGCGCCCAGCCCCCAATGTCTCTTTATGTTCCCTTAACACTCAGAAACTTATCTTGTCATTGATTGTAACCACAATATATGATAAGTTATTCTATTTCTTGTCTGTCTCCCACATTCATCTGTGACTTCCCTGGAGGGAAAGACAGTTTCCTGCATCTTTTCCCCCAAAGTATAGTGCAATGCTACCCACAGAGGAAGTTTAATACTTTGCAATTATGAATGAGCTTAGTATATTACTAACTCACAAGGTTGGCAAGCAAATCGATACATTGTACCAATATTATGCTGACTAATGTTTCCACATGCTTACAGGTATTGCGCTGTTGGAAAACAGTAGCTCCCCCAGTCACAATTTCACCTTCTGCAGTTTCAGTTACCCACAGTCAATGGCAGTCCAAAAATATTAAGTGAAAAATTCCAGCAATAAACAATTTATAAGTTTTAAATTACCCACCATTCTGTGTAGCATGATGAAGCCTGGTGCCCTCCTGCTCTACTCTGCCTGGGACGGGAATCATCCCTTTGTCCAATAAATGCAAGCTGTAGATGCTCTCCACACAAGTCACTCAGTAGCCATCTGTGATCAGATTGACTGATGTGGTATCACAGTGCTTGTTTTCAAGTAACTCTTGTGTTACTTGATAATGGGCCCAAAGTGCAAATATTTAATAAGGAAAGAAAAAAAAATCCTAATGCTGAGGTTGCTGAGATCTACAGTTAGAAGGAATCTTCTATACGTGAAATTGCGAAGGAAGAAAAAGAAATTCAGGCTAATTTTACTGTCACTCCTCAAACCACAAAAGTTACGGCCACAGTGCGTGATAAGTGCTTAGTTAAGATGGAAAGGCATTAAATTTGTGGGTGGAAGACAAGAATAGAAGTGTTCCAACTGATGGTGGTTTCGGGCATTCACTGGGGAGGGTAGGGGCTTGGAACTTATGCCCTTTGAAGAAGTGCAGACTACCATCATTTCATACATCGGTATTCATACACAGCCGTGTGCTCTTCTGCAATTTTAAACTTGAAGTGGTAACTTAGGGAAGTATCCTGTTCAAGTCAGTTGCTGGGCAAGGTCGTTTTGTTTATTCTCAATTCTCCTTAAGAGTAGAGCAATGTAGTTTCCATGTGCAGCCAACTGTTTTAATCCAAGAGAGTCTCACTAGAATACTGTGAATCATTCCTCAGCAGCCCTACCTGACCCTCTCATGCTGTGGCATGAGCCTCTCCCATCACGTCTGCCCAAATAAAAACAAAGAAACTGTTGTTCATGTTTTCTCTCTGAAACCATCTGTCATCTTCCTCACCTTAATGTATGCCCCTTGTATTTATAGGAAAAGGGAAGAGAAGAAGAGGGGTAATTTGCAGAATATTGTTTAAGAGAAAGTAATCTTTAAACTCTTCACTATTTACCTTACCTCCAACATCCTTTGTATGTTCAGTTCCATCCAGGAGCACTTTATTTGACTGTGGCGTGACTCCTCCTTTCTCATTACCAGCAGTTAAGCTGGGCGTAGTGTGCCAGAGGCTTAACTCATAGCCAATGGTCCTGGTGTCTGGTGGAAATAGAGGGACCCAGGCACTGTCAGCTATGGCTGAAAAGTAGATCCTGAGCTGACTTTATATTGCAGGGCATAAAAAAGAGAGAAACTGTGGCCCTTGGCAAGATCGAGTTATGTGGAGATTATTCCCCCCCACAGCAAGACTACAAAAAAAAACAAGCAGTGTTCTTTGGAGACTCTTGAATGCTCACTCAAAGGCATACCGCCGCACAGCTATTTTGTAAAAGTGGAGAAATGGGAAATGATCATGTTCCGAGGTAGCTGGAGGCTGTCTGGGCTCACAACCAGGCTGCACTTCCTTGGGAAGAATAATTACCCTGCCATATGTGGCACTCTGGAGAAGAATGAGACAAGAAGTGGCTATGAACTAAGTCGTAAGAAAGTAAATTAGGCCAAGTACTAATGCAAAAACTCACTACCACTTACTAATTATTCATTCATCAAATATTTTTTGAGCACCTACTTTATGCCAAGCACTCTTATAGGTGTGGGGGATAAGTGAGTGAACAAAGCTGACAAGAACAACAACAACAAATATATTTTTATGATGCAACATTTTAGTGAGGGAAAAAATGAATAAAAAACATACCAAATCAATGATATAGTATATTAGAGAGGATCAGGTGTTATAGAAAAAAACAGAACAGGATGGAGGGAATCAGGCGGGCTAAGAGAAGGACTGTCGTTTTAAATGGAGCCACACTGAGAAGGTGGTGACTGAGCCAAGAGTTGAAGGAGGAGAGGAAGCGAACTATGTGGCTTTTGGAGGAAGGTTATTCCCTGCAGGGAAACAGTGCAAAGGTTCTGAGACAGGAACGTGGCTATAAGGTTTGTGAAGAATCAAGGAGAACAGGCCATCGGAGCAGCCTGAGCCAAGAGAGGGTTATAGGAAATGAAGATGAGGAGATAACAGGCCAGCAACGAGGACAGATAGTGCTGGGTCTTCTGGGCCACTGTCTGGACTTTCGCTTTCACTCTGAAAGTATTGAGGGGACATCCATTAAAGAATTTTGAGCAGAGGAGTGGCATAAGATGACTTCAGTGTTTATAAGGGCTATGTTTGCTGCATTGAGAATGGTTTGTAGGAAGATTGTGTTAAGTCCCGATCACTAAGGCACTGAGAAATACAAATTATCTTGTGAAATCATTTTAGCAAAATAGATATTATTATCTATTTTGTAGATGAGGAAACAGAAAGGGGCAATCGCCTGAACAACGTTACATAAATAGAAAATGATAGGTCTAAGATTTAAACCATGAAGTAAGCAATAACATATATTCTCCAAGCCCTATAGCAGTGTCAATTCTGGTTTAATTGCAGTGAGGCTCAGGGTTACCAATGGAGTGTTGTGTGTGTGTCAGGAAACGGTCTATAGACTTTTGGAGTTACCACATGAACTAATTTCCGGGCCATATATGACCGATATAATTAAAAACTTTCACTAAAATTGTGGATGCTTTTAATAGTTAATCAACTAGTTTTCTACATAAAGAAGAAAGAGTTCCCTGTCTCTCCTCATAGATGTATCTGCAGATTGCTTTGTTCTCCTGCGAAAGGATTCCTGCATCATTGAAGAGGTAGAACCCTTGTTAGGTTACCAGCACAGGCTGAGTTGACATCTTAATAATTTCCTAATAACCCCACACTGTTTCTGAAAGATACAGTATTTTTCAGAAGCAAATATCAGAAAAAGTGATCAAACTAAATAAAAGCAGGGACCACAGGCATAATCAGTGGTTTTTAGTGAAGGCTACCTGTTGAAGTAAATCCTCATGATTCCTGTATCAGTTTGTTTTTAACAAATAATATCCCTCCTTTTAGCTAAGAAATACGCAGAAAGGCTTGTAGGGAAAGATCAAAAAAGGTAAAAAAAAAAAATACAAAAACTGAAATCTGCAAGGTTTGGTACCTGCTCTAGAATCAAAATATTGAAAAGAATTAATAGACTATGAGGACTTCACATTCATCAAAGCAGGTGAGCCAGCACTTTAAGATGCAGATCAAAAAGCAAAGATGTAAAAATATTTTCTGCAAATGTATTTGATTATAAATGTTACAATTACTTGAGGAGGTAATTTAGAGGATATTGTTAATTTGCTAACTTATTTGATTATTTAATTGCAGACATTAGTTTTCAAACCATTTAAATTCCAGACTTCCTGAATATAATCAGATGTGATTGGACATGACTTTCTTGAGCTAGACTTGCCAAGAATATTGCTCTTGTTATTTACCTAGTGGCAGATGACCAAAATATAGGCTTCTGCTATTTTCTTCAGGTAAAATTTAGTCAGGTTTCAAAGATCATCATAGAATTCAAAAGAACTGAATTTCCGAAATTTTAAAACTCCACTCGAGGCAAGAAAATCCCAAAGTCTATTTAAACCATATAAGGCTCACAATTATATCCATGCACTACCACATGAAACTGTTTTGCCCATGTGATATGAAGCATGAGAAAATAATTAGTAGCATTCAAAGATTTGGCCTCACATGGAGAAGAACATCTGGATAATCAATTTATTAACTAAAAGAATCTGAATGTTTGGGTGTAAAGAATTGTTCCTGTTCTTTGGTTAGAAAAGTGGACTTGAAGTCATTGGAGAGAAGTTCCTTAGGAGAAGGAATCTCATTAAAGTTTCAATGTGACCTATTTTAAGCTTGACTGGAAAATACATAATAGTTCTGATAGAAACCAGGAATAGAGCAAATCAACATCCCAGTAAAGTGCCTGCTTCTACATAGATGCCATAAAGATTCCTAGGAAAGTTGACACTTTTCAATATATAGCATCTGAATGGAAACACAGTTGTATGTGAGATTGGTTAAATAAGTTTCATTACTTTACAGTCACACTGTACTTGGGTTTGTGCATTCTACTAAATTATTCTTACCGAATTATTTTATAACATTAAAAAAAACTGTCTCTGGTTCTGATACTGTCATAATATTCAGGGAACTTTTCTGTCATTTTATTTTTATTGCCCTCTGCAGATGGCTTTCAGAAGTTCATCTACACCAATTTATTGTATATATATTGTCTTTGTTTCTTATTGATTCAAAGCTACATTCAGTTGCTTTTAGGTATGCTTCTATATGAAGTAATGTGACCCATCTTTCAAAACAATTTTACAAAGACTAATGCTGTTGGACTCCTGAATTCTGATATTTTTTCAACTGCAGAAACACTAGCTAGCTATTGAAATTATGGCAGGTATTTCTTTGATTGACCCACATCAAATTCCAGTGAGAAGCCATAATGAGTGAGTGGCTTGACTTTCTATCACTGAGGTATCTGATTCATTTTATTAGTCAGAACTACATTTTAACCTTATAGAAAGATTTTTTTTCATTAGACACACATACATACATAAATACCCCTAGCCTAGGCACATCCCATATGTAAGAAAGTTAACACTAGAAGAAAAAGCATGTGCATGTGTGTGTGTGCTTATTTTATCTGTCTATCCATATGTAGATACTATATCATCAGATCTAGATCTAGATATACAGCTAACTAGATATGGAAATCACTTATGTCTGAGAAAAAGATAGGGACTTATAGTAATATGGGCAATGCATTTCTGTTCCCTTAAGTGAGTGTCTTCATCTCATTTTACCTGTTGGATCCAGGCTCCAGGTTACTAACATAAATCTGTCAGTCTCAAAGGCTATGGTGTAAGGTTTCCTTCAGAGGAAAAGACATAGTAAAGCATACATCATCTTATTGCTATGGATTAGTTTAAAATGAATTAATCATTTTTGTCAATGATTTTCTTTCGTCTCTCTGTTCTCACCTCATGGCAATGTCCCTGAGGCCATCATCTCCCCAAAAGGCATGGGGTGGAAAAAGAGGTAAAATCCTATGATAACTATTTTACTATTTAGGTCTAGCAGCTCTTCTAAAGAACACAGTAGAAAATGAAACACAGAATCTTCATTAATTTCATTATGATTGGTTTAGATTGCGCAAGCACTTCTCAAACTTTCATTTCTTTTATGCCCTGTTTTTGAACAGGCTTACAAAACAAAGATCATTGGCAATGATATGGTTTGGCTGTGTCCTCACCCAAATCTCATCTTTAATTGTAGTTCCCATAATCCCCACATGTTGTAGAAGAGACCAGGTGGAGATAATTGAATCATGGGACGGTTTCCCCCATTCTGTTCTTGTGACAGTGAGTTCTCATGAGAACTGATGGTTTCATAAGGGGCTTCCCCTTTTGCTGGGCACTCATTCTTCTTCTTCCTGATGCCATTGTGAAGAAGGACATATTTGCTTCCCTTCCACCATGATAGTAAGTTTCCTGAGGCCTCCCCAGCCCTGCAGAACTGTGAGTCACTTAAACTTCTTTCCTTTATAAATTACCCAGTCTCATGTATGACCTTATGCAGCAGGAGAACAGACTAATACAGGCGGCCAGTTAACCTTTTTTTTTTTAGCATATTGCCTCTAGTTATCCATAGTGTTCAATTATAGGAGTTCAACTTATGTTATTATGTACTGGTAATGCCCTTTTAACACTGCACTTATTAAACTATCTGGTTTTCTTTCACAATCCCAATATAAAAATAACTATTCCTTAACTTCGACAATTCAGAAAATTGTCTATAAATGTGTTAGGGGATAAGAGACAGGCATGAAGAATAAAGATTATAAATACCAGTTGTCATCTTCATTCCAAGATCAAAGTACTCATCCAGTTACAAAAGTTTCCATAGTAGAGTATTTCCTGAATCTTGAAAATATCTGCCTTTGTCTTTTTATATTCTCTAGATGTACAGTTTATTAGTCTCAACTCTTCCTTTGATAACTCTATAGATATTGTTCCAACATTTGTAGACACTTTTATTTGCTTGGCTGCTTGTAGTAATTTTTTTATATCCATGTAATTTCAAACATGCATCGGATTATTTGGAGTGAGAATTTCCAGTCTGTATAATCCCTGACTTTCTGACATAAGAAGCTTCTTATAAAGAGTCTCATGGGATATAAAGAGCCTTTTTTACCTCTTTAAAGATGCTTTTCTGAAGAACCATGTAGCTAGGCCTTGTGACTTACATTGGGTAGATTACTTTCTATTTAACTTTGTTTTTGCCATCGCCAATGTTTATTAGTCTGCACTTTATGTTATAGATTCTCTTGTCTTTAGTGTATTTTCATAAGCATTCCGGTGGGATATTGGGAGAGGCCATATTAGTGGGTTAGAGAAGGGTGTAATGTTTTAAAGCTGAAGCCTATCAGTAATGAATATGAGTGACCTGTAAAGAGAAGGGCTACCAGGATTAAACAAATAAAAATTGTTGCATTTTCTTAAAAAAAAATTATAAATACCAAATAGCCTAGGGCATATTAAAATAGCAATAATAAAAATCGTACTATTCCATAACCAAATCAAGTTTTGATGGAAAGAAACACATAACTGATTGCCTTCTCATTAGAACAACAGAAAATCAGTTGTCCTATTGGGCTCTAATTGAGAAGCCAGATGGAGGCTGGCAGAGTGGCATTCCTGGGACACACAGAACCACAGGAGGCAGTGAGCAATAGGTTCATATTTCTATTTGCATATAGCCAGAACTGCATTTGACAGCAAGAACAGATTTCCCAAACCAAGCACCTCTCATCAAACATATATTCCTCTGGTAGACAGCAGGCAGCAGCTTCTCTTTTAACAGGCATTTTCTAGTTTTTATGCACACTCCTAATGATTTTAATGTAGAGAGAAGAGGTAGGTACAAATATATGAATGATTTGAAGAAACGATAGGTAATGAATTATTTCTCTGCTATTTCTGATTTGAACAAACATGCTGCTAGAATGAATAAGGATGTTTAGCAATATCACAGGATATACGGTCTATACATAAAAGTCAATTGTACTTCTGTATACTAACAATGAAAAATTGGAAATTGAAAAAACAGCTGTGATAGCATCATAATGTGATAATTTAGGGATGACTTTCATAGAATGTGTGCAATACATTTACCTTAAGATTACAAAATACTGCTGAGAGAAATTAAAGAAGACCTAAACCAATAAAGACATACACTGTGTTTGTGGACGGGGAGTCTATATATTATCAGGATGTGTATTCTCCCCACAGTGAAATATACACCAAAAACATTTCAATCAACATTGATACATTACTTTTGTAACAATAGGCAATTTGATTCTTAAATTTGCATGACAATACAAAAGCAATAGAGAACCAAGATGATTTTTAATGAGAATGGCAAAACAGACTACTTACACTACCTGATTTCAGAACATGATAAAGTTACTGTAATGAAGATGATATGGTATTGACATAAGAATAGGCATATAGGTAAATGAAATAGAATAGTGAGTTCAAAAATAGACATAGACAGTATAGTCATTTGATTTTTGACAATGTTGCCCAAGTAAATTAATGGGGAAAGAGTAGCTTTTCAATAAATGGTGCTGAAACAATAGAATATTTGTACTTAATTATACCATATACAAAAATTAAATTAAAATGAAGCATATGCCTAAACATTACATTTAAAACTATGAAACTTCTAGAATACACGGAAGAAAAAATTCTGGCATTTGCTTAAGCCAAAATATTTTTATGACACAAAGCATATGAGAGAAAAACTGATTTTGTATATGGTATCGGACGGGGTAGAGTTTCACTGTTTCCATATTTCCAGCATACTAAAAAAAAGATGAATATCAAAATTATCATTATAATTTAATATTTTTTCCAGAATTTTTGTTTCATGAAGATTGTGGAGTACAATCCATCTCCAAATAACCTATCTGAAGCCCCTATTTGAGATTTCATTATTAATGTTGAGGTCTAATTGTCTATATTTTCATCTTATGATTTTAAACTTTTCAATATGTCATAACTTTTTTCTCAAGTAGATATAAACCTTGAGAATCATCCTTGCTATATGCTTGTTGACATGATTTGTTAGCTGAAGGGATATATTAGTGGGCCAACTGGCATTTGTTCATATTTTTATTACATCTCTCAGAAAAGAGAGAGGGAAAGACAGCAAGGGAGAGATATGGGTCTTAGCAAAGATAAGAAGTATAAGAGAAAACAAGAGCACTGTGTTTTCCTCTTTTTCTCACAGTGGTGTTCTGGCACAGCACTCAGCCTCTACTGGAACCACCTGGCTCCCTTCACTTCCGCAACCAAGAATTACAAAATATACCTGAAAGGACACTGAAACTCTTCAAGATGGTGATAGTGATGGTGGTCTCTTTGTTCCTATGCATATCAATCTCTTGTGTTTCCCTCTTCTGATGCCTTTACCATTACCTTCAAATGTTAGTTGCTTATACAAAGAGAGCTTGTCAGGGATCTTAAGACCAACAAAATTTATTTGTGTTAGCAACTGATTATTAACTTGGTTGTCATACTGACAGTGAGAAGAACACAAGATTAGAAATAAAGATCTAATATTTACTTAATTCCAATTCCATGATAAGCCCTTTTTAACTTTTCTCTTGCTTAGTTCTCAAAAATTTCATAGAATGCTAATGACTTTGGTATTATTTCCACTTTAAAGATAAGGAAATTGAGACTCATCGAGGAAAAAGGCATTTGACGAAGCCTAAAGAGAAAGTAGACAGCAGTGTTTTAATTCAAACTGAGATCTGTCTGAAGTCAGAATCTGTGCTCTTTTTGCTACTTTATCCTACATGCAGGAGGATCAGTAACCTAGATTCACTTTTGTGGCCCTGTCAATGAGTAGTGGCAAAGATGGTGCATTCGTCATCTCTTGCTGTGTAACAAATTCTCCCAATAATTACAGCTTAACATAGAAGTAAACATTTATTTTACATAATTTCTGTGGATCAGAAATTAGGGAGTAGCTTTGTTAAAAATGCATCCATAAAATTTTATTTTATTTTTTTGAGACGGAGTCTTGCTCTGTCACCCAGGCTGGAGTGCAGTGGCGCAATCTCGGCTCATGCAAGCTCTGCCTCCTGGGTTCATGCCATCCTTCTGCCTCAGCCTCCCAAGTAGCTGGGACTACAGGCACCTGCCACCATGGCCAGCTAATTTTCTTTTTTTTGTATTTTTAGTAGAGACAAGGTTTCACTGTGTTAGCTAGGATGGTAGAATTTTAATTTTTTGAGTGATGGCATAGGGAGGTTTATTCATTGAAGGAAGAATGTATTACTTGCATTTCCCCAGAGCAGGTAGCTAGGCCACTCTGCACAGGGTCATGTGGGGATGCGCCAGAGTTGGTCAGGAGGCAGAGGAAAGAAGGGAGGAGAAACTATGGCCCAGAGTCTTTATTGTGTTTTCTGTGAAAGAGGCACAGCGGGTCAGGGATAACGTTTAGCACTGACTGATTAGAATAATGGGGGTTTCTGTGCTGTAGGGGTGGTCTCTAGTTGTGTGATACCTTCCTGGTCTTGGGTTGATTTAGGGCAGGAAAATATTGGCTTGGTGTGTGAGTCAAATAAAGCAGGTGGTTGGAGGTATTGACTTGAGATTGAGATTGGCTGGTTCACACAGGAAATATGCATTTTTGCTCATCAGTGAGTTGTTTATTATCTCTGAATTTGCTAGCCATAGGAGGAGGAGTTTATCCTGCCAGCTAGGCCTCTAAAGATGTTAAAACATTATAAAATATATTTTTAACCAAACAGGATGTATACAGCAGCCTAGTTGTGCCGTTCTGACTTAGAGTCTCTCATGAGATTCCAGTTAAGATGTCAGCCAGGATTGCAGTCCTTGAGGATTTGATGGGGGTTGGAAGATCCACTTCCAAGATGGTTCATTCATATGATGGTGGTTATTGGCAGAAGGCCTGAGTGCCTTTCAGTATTAGTTTTGCATTGCTCTATAACAAAGTACTACAAATGTAATGACCCAAATGAACACACGTTTGTTATCTTACAGTTTCCATGGGTCAGGAGTCAGGGCATAGGTTAGATGGAGGCCTCTGCTCAGAGTTTCTTCTGAAGCCGAAATCAAGACATTGGCTGGGCTGTGTTCTCACCAGGCTCAGGGTCCCTCTCCAAGCTCACTCAGGTTGTTTGTCAAATACAGTTTCTTATGGTTGTAGGGATGAGGTCCCTGTTTCCTTGCTGATTGTTGGCCAGGCATCTCTTCCAGCTCCTGGAGGCTGTCCTCAGGTCCTAGCATGTGACCTTCTCGCCGCATGGCAACTTACTTCTTCAAAGGCTGCAGGAGAATCTCCTTCCAGTTTGCTATGACAGTGTTACATAACATAATATAACCAAGGGGTAACTGTCCCTTTACCCTTTCCATATATGGTTATTTGTTCATGCATGTATGATGGTATTCATATGTTCTGCCCACACTCATGGGGCAGGGCATGCACATCAAGGGGTAGGAAGCTTGGGGCCCTGTTAGAACTGGCCACATGTAGCCACTACATAGGAAGGTTATGTTTCAGAAATATGAGTGTCTTATAATAAAGATGTTTTCTTCATGAGGCAATGTGCCTAAAATATATGCTGGGTAATCTATGATCCACTAGTGAGTCTGAAGCTTGGGGCCCTGTTAGAATTCTCTGTTGACATGGACATGGCAGCTGGCTACTCCCAGACCAAGCTATCCAAGAGACAGCAAAGAGCCGTGCTATTTATGACCTAGTCTCACAAGCCCTGTACCACTACTTCCGCCACATTCTATTCTTTGAAAATATTAATAAGTTGCTAAATCTGCTCTACCCTCAAGGACAGGGAAATTGGGCTCCACCGTTTGAGTGGAGCTTATAAAAACTTGTGGACTTATTTTAGAACTACCATAGATGACATTTAAATACTTTAGCTCTCTGTCTAATCAGCTACAGAATGAAAAGCTTCAGCCAGTTGGTTATTAAGGTTCTTGGAGTATAATATGTGCATGTTTATGTATTTGTCTCTTTAGTAACTTCACTTGTGCCTCCAGAAGGAATATCATTGGTGAGGGTGTGACCCTTTCTCTAAGGAAAATGTAATTTATGTTGAAATTAATTGGTCTTGATTTTATATTATTGCCTTTTTCCATCAAAGTGAACAATTTTTCTCATTTCTATAATTGAAATAATAGATAAGAACTTACGTGAATGATTTTAATGTGTGTGTGTATGTGTGTGTTGGGGGGATTATCACAACATGTTTTGCCACATTTCAAACTATGAAATTGTTTTTATTGCTTCTTTTTTTGCAGAAGGATTTTTTTTAATAAGTAACTTTTTCTTCTGAAATAACGAGTGGAGTTAACTTTGTCTATTTTGTGAAAGGAAAGGGGAAAAGTGAAAAAAAGTTAACTTTAGTCATCCTCACCACTCTTGACATTCAGGGAAATATACAAATCCACATCGAGTTTTCCCATCAAGGAATTGCTGTGGTTTATGGCATATATCTCAGACCCATTACTTCATGGATTTAGTGGATCATGGATTACCTAGCATACATTTTAGGAACCTCATGAAGAAAATATCTTTATTATAAGGCACTCATATTTCTGAAACATAACCTTCCTATATAGTGACTACATGTGGCTGCACTGCCTAGGAATATATATTAATAAAAAGCCTCTGTCATTAAGATACCTGATCTTAGACAAAACAGTTTCTTCTGGAGGGCCAAGTGAGCTAACACTATTTCTCGCTGACATTTTGTGAATTAAATACTGCTATGCAATTCAAGAGAATATTTGCCAGAGGAAATTCCATTAAAGAAAGCTACAGCCACGTTTTCCTCTTTTCAGAGTTTCCAAATCGGCAACAGTCCAAAATTAATCTCAGAAACTGGTCTTCTCAAGTGGTCAACTAGCTGTCACTTGATTTTAGCACTGTTTATTCAATAAGTTTAAATAATTGGCTGGGCATGGTGGCTCACGCCTATAATCCCAGCACTTTGGGAGGCAGAGGTGGAAGGATTGCTTGAGCCCAAGAGTTCAAGACCACCATGGGCAACATAATGAGATCCTGTCTCTTTAGAAATACAAATAAAAATAAATATATAAATGATCAAAGAAGATACTAAAAACCATTTTTTAAGGCCCTTAAAACCCAACCCAAATTACAGAGTGGAAATCCAGACACTTCTTCAGGGTGCCATTATTCTAGGGCTACTAAAAAGTCATATGGCAGCACACAAAAGAGACGCAGTGGAATGAAGAAGGTTGGATGAAGTAGTCTAAAAATTTAACATAGGTATGGAAGAGTTATGATCTAGAAATGTCTAATTTCTTATGTGTATATATTTTTTGAACTTTTAGGTTCAGGGGTACATGTGCAGGTTTGTTACATGGGTAAATTGTGTGTTGTGGGGGTTTGGTGTACAGATTATTTTGTCACCCAGGTAATAAGGATAGTACCTGATAGGTAGTTTTTCAATCCTTAACCCCTTGTCACCCTTCACCCTCAAGTAGGTGTCAGTGGCTATTGTTCCCTTCTTGGTGTCCATGTGTATTTAGTGTTTAGCTCCCACTTATAAGTGATAACATGTGGTATCTGGTTTTCTGTTCCTGTGTTAGTTTGCTTAGGATAATGGCCTTCGGGCCCATCCATGTTGCTGCAAAGGACATGATCTCATTCTTTTCATGGCTGTATACTATTCCATGGTATATATGCCCCACATTTTCTTTATCTGGTCTACTGTTGATGTGCATTTAGGTTGATTCCACGTCTTTGCTATTGTGAACAGTGATACCTAATTTTTAACAATTTACTATTTGCCAGAAACTGTCCTAAGCACTGTACCTTTATCTTAATCCTCATTACCTTGTAAAAAAAATACTATTTTATATGCAAATGAGAAGAAAAAGGTACATCAAGAAAAGTCAAGTAATTTGTGCCCAAGGTTGTCTTAGTGGGAAAGTGGCAGAATTAAGGTCTCACCCAAGGAAGGCTGATTCCAAAGCTTGAACTTTTAAACATGGTACTCAAAAAATCTGACACAGCAGCTACTAAGGAATGTTAGTTCAGGTAATTCCGAACTTCTGATTTGCTAAGTGAAATATCTAAGCTAGGCACTGCCACCAGTAGAGCACCTTCTTTGTTCTTCCATGCCATAACACTCAGCCTCTTTTCTAAAGAAATACAATGAAACAATAAGAATATTTGTTCAAAAGCATATTTCATTAGTTATATTTCTTTTCTGCAATAATACTACATAATAAAAAGCTCCCAAAATCTAAGTGGTTTTTTGTTTTTGTTTTTGTTTTTGTTTTTGAGACGGAGACTCGCTTTGTCACCCAGGCTGGAGTGCAGTGGAGTGATCTCGGCTCACTGCAAGCTCCACCTCCTGGATTCACACCATTCTCCTGCCTCAGCCTCCCGAGTAGCTGGGACTACAGGCACCTGCCACCAAGCCCAGCTAATGTTTTTTGTATTTTCAGTAGAAACAGGGTTTCACTGTGTTAGCCAGGATGGTCTCGATCTCCTGACTTTGTGATCCACTCACCTCAGCCTCCCAAAGTGCTAGGATTACCAAAGTGCTGGGATTACAGGCATGAGCCACCGCGCCTTGCCATCTAAGTGGTTTTTAATGATTAACATATCTATAATTTTTTCCTGTGGACAGGCCTATGGGCTGACGGAGATGGCTCTGCTTCATATAAAGTTCTGGGATCTTCCACATGTGAGTCACCCTGATAAAGAGGTGTCTAGGGCATGCTCTTCTCATGGCAGATGCTAGAAGTATAACAGCCACAACAAACGGCATATGCATACTTCAGCCCATGTTCACAGCAAAATGGCTTATATTCCATTGGCTAAAGCAAGTCATGTTCAAGATCAGAGCCAATGGGGCAGGGAAGTCATGGCAAGGGTAAGGAGTGAACAAAGAATCGTGGGCAAGTAATACCATCCACCACAAGCACCAATTCATTAGCTCTCTCATGTTTAAGTGACTTTATGGGGCTTTCCTTTAGAGTAGCCAGCCTTTCTTCAAATGCCATGTTACCCATTTTCTTGTTCTAACACTCTAATTCTCATAGTTTCTTTGTTTACTAGGGATTCTCTTATTTTTTGGTTATTTATTTGATTTATAGAGGAAACATTCTCTCTGTATGAAGCCATACCATTGACTGCCAGTCTTGGGTATTCTGTATCTGCATATCCACCCCATTCCCTGTACCAAGACACATACATACTTTCTTACCCTAATGATCTAAAGACCATTTTTCTGGGCACAGTATGCAATCTGCTAAGTCTTTTATCTTACCACTCAAAAATTCAGAAAGTAAGGCCATCTCTTTCTCATAAGCAGGTCACAGTGATGCCATCTTCTCTAAGAAATCTTCCTCCTCCGCTCAAGTTCTGATTAATTGACCATAGAAATATGATCCCTTAGGCCCTTGAACAAACTCTCTTAGCCCTCATCACACTGTACAGCCTCTGCCCATTTTCTCACCTGTATGCCCGTTAAATTGTAAGATCCTGGAAGGCAGACTTACTGCTATATCAAGTACCTAGATTAGTGTCTGACACTCTTAGATAAATGTTATTTCTTCTTATTGTTACAGTCTTCACAATTATATCCCTATACTTAGAACATTTTCTAGCACATAGTGAATGCTCAACAATTACTAATTGAACTTTTTTTTTTTTTTTTTTTTGTATCTTGAGAGCAAGTATGACTAATTTCCAATCAGGAGATAAGAGTGAAAAGTAGCTGGTGCTCACTTTGGGTCAGGACATCATTTACTGTGTCACATTTAGTAATCACAAAAATCATGTGGATAGGTTTTATAACTGAGGAATCAGAGAACAAGCAACTTGTTCAGGATTTGACAGCATTGAATTTAAACCCAGATCTTTCCCCCAAATTTGAGCTCCTATCACAGAGGTTACAAGCATAGCAGCGTTGTGAGAGTAGAGGCAGTGGTCATTGTAAACTAGGCTTGCTTCACTCAGTTCAAGAATGAGAAAAACATCTTTGCTCTTGGCTTGTGATATGTGTCCTGCAGGATTTTTACTTTCTCTCCTTTATTAAGTTTGTATATTCCTGATTTTGAAACAGATCATAATAGGTATGTACTCCAAACTCATTTTCAACCTTAAGATTGTGCAATCCCCAAACCCTATCTACTAGCCAAGAGCTTTGCCAATTTGATTTTCTAGTAAGACAGAAAATTCTATTGCAAATTTATCCTGAGGCTTATAACCAGTATGTATTGGCAAGATTTAGGAAGACAAACATAAAATGCATGCTCTGTAGCAAAGCACCCTCCTGAATTGCCTCCATATTTCCTAGCAAACATACCGAGAGCTTTTATACCCACAGTATATAAAACTATGAGCCCAGCTCATATGGTTCAGCATACTTTCACAACATACATTAAAAGATATTACCTGTACCTTGTAACATGTTTGCAATTTTCCCATGAATTAGCATTTATTTTCAATAACTCAGAGAGAAAGTCTGTAATGCTTATAAATTGATTTCTTTTGGCATGCTGATGGAATGAAACAGAAACTAAATGCATAGGAGCATCAGTGAAAAGATGAGCATAAACCTTTTGTGAGAACTGTAGCTTTAAAATCACCTAAATTTTCTTCTCTTCAGAGAGAGAGAAAGACAAAGAGAGAGGCAAACAAACAAACAAAAAATCATGAACATTGAGATTTGAGTTTTATGCTTGGGCTACAGTTATACTGTGTCCCATAATATACTTTTCTTGGTAGAACCAAGATTATTTTTGAGCAGATATTTAATAACGTATTCTTCCATTAGGTATTATTCCCTACATATGCTTTAGGTTATGTTCTTTTACTTAAAACACAAGGTTACCTCTTCTACTAGAAAATTTTAATGAAATGTTTCCTGATGCAGTGATTTGAAGGCTGACCCTGAAGAGGCAGGGTTTCCTGTGTCCTGTTACAATGGATTTTTCATGTCCTGGGATCTCCAAAGGATACAGGAGCATAGTGGTAAATTCAGTCTTGCTACAGAGAGCTTACATATGTATGTACACTTCCCTCACCTTTCCTTCCAAAGGCCCCAGGAGCAGATGTTTGCAGATTGATTTATGCTCCATTATATTTAGCTGTCACTTCACCCAGAACTGAAAAGCAGTCATCTCTGGAGAAAATATGACAGTAGTTTAATGAAGCACATGGATACTGCAACGAAGGGCAGGAAGTGAAGGCGCGTGTGAATCTCAACCTGCTATCATAGAAATGTAAGAATGGTTTTTCTGTCAGGTGTTCTGTGAACAAATTTGGAACATGGAATTAACATTCAGAGAGGACTTTGTAACAGCACCCCTCTGTCCCCTTCAGCTCCAGACACACAGCCTTTCATGACCCCTGGTGGGTGACAGGCATCACCCCTCTTCCTGGGCCTCTTCAGGAAACCCTCTTCACAATAATCGCTGCCAAATCAACCTGGAATGTTGCTGTTAAAAGTGATAGAAAGCTGGGAATGGTGGCAAGTGCCTGTAGTCCCAGCTACTTGGGAGGCTGAGGCAAGAGGATAGCTTGAGGCTAGGATTTTGAGACCAGCCTGGGCAACATAGGGAGACTCTGTCTCTAAAAAAAGAAAGAAATTTATAAAAATGTTAGAGCCCATTTTTGTTGAGCATTCAGTGGCTTCATTTAGCCTCTTCTGAGGAAGCCAGCCCTTTTTAGCAGCCTTCATTTGGGAAAAGCACAGGGCTAAGTTATTTCTGGAGATGCAGCCAGCAACCAATGGGCCATGTGGAAAGCATTCTGTCCCATCCCCCAAGCTCCACTGCCCTGCCTCCAACATAGCCTTCACCCAGAACCATTCGATTTGGGAAAACTATGGAACATGGTTTCATTTCATTTTCCATTCCAAGGGTTCCTCTTGCACAATGCAAATCCTCCCTAGGGGCAACTCTAATCTAATTCACCTTATGGAATATATTTCCTTCTGACTGGAGAGACCAGGAAAGGATGCGAATGCAGATGTTGGTTGTATTGGAATTCTAGGTGAAAAAAAATTAAAGATAAAACGGATAAAAGGGAGTGAAAGAAAAGGCTGAAAGTACAAAAGCTACATTGAGAATGTCTGCTTAGGAAGGGATCTATTTTTTTTTAATGATTTCATGCCTCTGCTCACTCACTCTAGACCGTAAATTCTAATGCTTTCGAACATCTCCATTTATGGGGACCTCTGCCCTTCAAATGTAATGTCATCCAAGAAAAGTACCATCTTCCTCTTTAATTCTTTATCTTACTGAGCAAATAAAACTTGGTTTACTCTTCCGCTTTATCATATACTTTATTTGTTGCTTTGTGCAGCACTACATTATGCATTTATTGACATATATGTTTATCTTTAGTAGAGTCTTGGTGCATAGGAAGCTTTTGGTCATTATTAGTGAGATTGGATTACATTTGATTAATCTGTGGAGAAGCAATTTATGCTTTCCCTGTTTTGCAGGAGCTCATCTCATGGTTATTGAAACAAATAATTTCAAGAGTCTGGGGAGTTTCCTTGGGCTCTGAGTGGCCCAGTATGACACTAAGAACCCGAGGTGAGATTTGGGAAGGATCTTCTTACCTCAAGACAGGGCAGGCATTTCTGTAAACACTCTATAAGGATTTCAATACACTGTCTGCACTAGGCTGGCCATGCTCCTCTGTCTTCATCTCAGTCATTGCCCCTCATGTTTTGCAAGTCAATGGCTGTTTCATCTGGGAAAAAGGTATTTCCCAACAGTCAAATTAAACTCATTCATATTTTTATCCAATAGTCAATTATTGAAAGCTTTCTGTACCCCGGGTCTTTGCTAGGTACTTTAATATGCAAAAGCAATTTAAGGCCTTCAAAACCACTGTGTGATAGGCATTATTACATCATTTTACAGTTGAGAATACTGGAGTTTAGGGAGGTTAAGGAAGTTGCTCAAAATTAAGCATCTAATATGTGAAATAGACTTCAAATTTAAAACCAAATCTGCTGACTCCAGGCCCAACATCTTTTTCACTTTACATCACAACTGCTCATCAAAAAAGATTCAAGTTGTGTTCAGTCTTATCTGATTACTCCCAGGTGTTTATCAATTTCCACAAAGTGTGGCATTAAAATTTTGGACTAAATCTACCAGATCAGATTCGAAGTGCTGCCTACCACTCTCTGGACAAATAATTTTTACAAATATGGTCCAGTGCAATTAATGGAACCCAACACACTCAATTTCAGCTCTGGTTCTTTGTGTCAGAGTGTACACCTGTTGAAAATAAATCATAATTCAATCAAGAGATCAAATATTACTCTAGGAAATGTTACAGAATAGTTCTTTAAAAGAGACAAGTATTGTGAGCCTGATTTAGGTTATTTTATTTGAGCCTGTTTTTTTTTTTTTTTTAATCCATGTGTATGTTCTGGCCTGTTGCCAATGCAGTACCATCCTCATCTGCCTAATTGGATACTGATACTGGTCCATGTATATCTGTATATGTGTATTGTTTTGAAAGAAACTCTTTTTCTATGCAATTTACGAATAAGTTTATTTGAAACAGGGCAGAAACCCTAGCCAGTTTCTAGACTTTTGACCCCAAATGGGAGAATAACAGCATATTTAGTGATGGAATTGGGTGGAGGAAAGCAGTGGTAAAATACAGTGCTAACAGCCTGTCTTCATCAGGAATATTCTCCATGTGTGCCTTGCTGAAACATTTTCAAAGCAACTTTTTCCTCTATTCTGAAAGGTGTTAAGTATCTCAGAGTGCCAGAAACACATCATTCCCAGCCAATTCTAGTGAATTATTTTTTGCCAATATTGCATTTCTTCCTTCCTGCCTGAAGGTATGAAGCTAACTGAGAGTTAGGAAAGTTATACATATCAAGAAGAAAAGCCTGTATTTTTTTAAAGTGTGGTTTACATGCCTTTTAAAATTGCAAATATCCCCCCAAATGCTCGACTTCTCATTGTTCCCTCATGGAGGCAGGCCACGTATTCCTTGGGGATGGTCTGATCATAGATATACCTCACACCCATTTGGTAGACTGTCAAGAAAATCTTTGTTTGTGTGTCCTGTAGATAATAAAATTCCCATAGCTGGTTATTTATAGAGAAATTTGGAAATATGACGGAAGAATGCCAGGTGTTCTGTGAACAAAGTAGGGATATGAAATCAGCATTCAGAAGAGATAAAGAAATGCAAGAAGAGGGGCTGAATCTTCTCCAGCTGAATACCTCTTCTCCAAAGCACCAGGGAGAGTTAGGTTTTGAAAGGAGAATAAAAGTCAATGAAATTGAGAGGACAGAGAGGAGAAAATCCTAAAGAGGAAGCTAAAGAAGACAGAACAGATAAAGGCTCTGAAACTCCCAGAACACAAAAGTAAAGTATATTTATGTACAACAACTTTGCCTATGGGAGAAAAAAAAATATACTATCAACTTTGTTTCCTGTTTCTTCTTATCACCTTGCTTGACCCACTTCCCTTCCAACTATCTATAGCAAAGTTTTGTTTTTGTTTTTTTAGGAAAAGCTTCATGTTACAGCAAATGATACTTGTCACCTCCTGCCCAGATCCAAATTTCCTGCCTGATTCATCCTCTTTGTGTACTTTATGCTCTTGAAGTGCTTACTTGCCATGCGCTCTGAGCTCCACACACATGCACACCATACTGTTCCATACCCTCATTCCTTTGCTCATGCTGTTCCCTCTGCCTGATCAGCACCCCCTGCAAACATACCTATTCATTCTTCAATGTCTGCTCTAGAGAACAACTGCTGACATTAGCCTTTCCTGAACCTCACAGACCTCAAGCTTCAGCTTTGTTTTATATTCTGAATTTATATATTCTTCTGTTATTATAACTTCTCACAAATATATTTTTTCTATACCTTTTCTTCCACATGAATGTGAAATTCTGGAAGTCAAGAACCATGTTTGTTCACATTTTTATCTCTAGTACACAGTACAGTGCCTGGTATAAGAAAAACTCAATGTATTTTACCATCCTAACATATTAAGTAGAGCTCTACGGCAGATAAATGTTAACTCTCATGATCATATCACTAAGAAGATGTGGCTGTAACAGCCTGTCGTTGCTCTGAAAATAAAGAGCCAAATTCTCACCGCTGCTGCAAAGGCCTGCCTGATGGGTGCCCTTCCTTCCTGTCTACATTCTCGCTTTGCCCATCCCTCCTCCCTTCTCAGCCTGGTTACCACCTACCCTTCCTTCAAAACCTGTTGAAGCCTCACTTCCCCTTGGATGCTTCCCTGCCACCCTTGAATAGATCTATAGCTTCTATTAATCACTTCCATAGCACCCAGTAATTGTCCATTAAGTATCCTGCCTAGCTCTTATCACAGCTATCATTTTACATTTATTTGTATAATTCTTTCATATATTTATGTCTCTCTCACTAAGTTCTATGAAGATAAAAACCATGTTTCTCTCTTTCTTTAAATTTCTATTTTCCAGAGCTCAGAACAATGCCTGGTACACAATACTCGATAAATATATGTTGACTAGATGAACAAATGGTGTCTTCATTTTTATATTTAAATATTTTAGATAATGAGTCAAGATTGGTCCTTTTTTTTCTCTTTTAGGGGAACAATAATTTTAAACACTGGCAACTTCAGATATTTGTCAATTCAAAGGCAGAGCATGACCAAATGGCCTATTCATTTATATGGTTTGTTATTTTATTATTTTAAGTAGGTGATAGAGTTTGGCTGTGTCCTCGCCCAAATCTCATCTTGAATTGTAGTTTTCATAATCCCTACGTGTCGTGGGAGGAACCCAGTAAGAGGTAATTGAATCATGGGGGCAGTTACCCCCATGTTGCTGTTCTCGTGATAGTTTCCATGAGATCTGATGGTTTTATAAGGGGCTTTTCCCTCTTTTGCCTGGCACTTCTCTATCCTGCCATCATGTGAAGAGGGATGTGTTTGCTTCCCCTCTGCCATGATTGTAAGTTTCCTGAGGCTTCCCCAGCCATGCATAACTGTATGTCAACTAAACCTCTTTCCTTTATAAATTATCAAGTCTTGGGCAGTCCTTTATGTATAGTTCTCACTTTACAGAAGTGAGAACAGACTAATACAGTAGGTTACAGGGCATAGGGTAAGAAAAAAAAAAAAAGGCTGGGTGCTGGAAATTCAAAGAATAGAAAAGACCTGATTCCTGCCCTCATATTGCTGCTGTTTCATAGAGGGGTAGAGAAGAAAAAATTTTAACTACAATGTGAAGAGGAGTAGAATGGTGAACTTAAAAGATATAATGGGCATACAGGAGAAGGGATGTCTCAGGGCCAACTCAGGGAGTAGACGGCTTTCAGAGAAGGAACTGCCCTCACACTGAGACCTGAGGGCAGGTCGCATGAGTACTGCATCAGGTAAACCAACAAGGAAAGGGTCTTCCAGGCAAAAGGACTAGTGTGATCCTGGCCTAGAGACGGAATCAATAGCAAAGTCAAGCTGTTACAATTCACTGGCTATCGGTAAAGTTTTACATTCCCATGCAGGAGCAGAAAGGAAGGAAGCTAGAGAGCAAGGTGAGAACAGGAAGGCCTTGCCCTGAAGAGGAGCTTAGATTTAATTCATGATCAGGATTATGAAGACTACATTTTACAATTGATACAACTGACTTTCATTCTTTAGAGACTATAAAAATTATTCAGGAACTTTTAACATTTTCTCAGAGTCATTTTAGGATCAGATACTACGCTGTCTTGGGAGGTACCTAAAATTAACTGAGATATAAATACATATACACCACATATTTGGATAAAAAATAGAATTTTCCTAAAAGTTGAACCACCACTTCAGAGAAGGGATGTGCCTGCCCCATTTGTTGCATTCCCGAAGCAGTCCTTCACCATCACAGGAAAATAGATCACAAATCTTATGATTTTTTTTTTATGGAAAATTTACCACCAAACATTACGTCACCTTGGAGAAAGGAAACGCTAGTATTATAACAAATGCATATCAGATAAGAGATAATTTTGCTTCAGTTAGAATGATTTGGCCTTCAAAATATATTGACAATGAGTATCCCCCACTTCAAATGGGACAACTTTATAAATAATGAAAACATTGGGATTGAGCCCTTCTTTTGAAAGTCAGAAGTGTGTGTGTGTGTGTGTGTGTGTGTGTGTGTGTGCATGTGTGCACAGAGAGGCAAAAGGATGGGAGTAGGGGCGGGGGCATAAATAATTGAAAATTATTTTATGCGTGGGAGTTACTCAAGACTCCATCATACAACCCCCCTCACTTCTCACTTTATAGCCCCTAGACAATTTCATTTAAATCCATGGATTCAATTATCATCCATCTGATAATGACTCACAAATTCTTACCATCAGTTCAGATCTCCCTTATGAAATGTAAGAGAACTACTTATGCTTACTTATGAAAAGTAAGCGGTGAGATTATATACTCTGTGTCTCTGTATAAAGAAAATCAACATGCCTAAACTAAATCAATAGTCTCTCCTCTGCACCCACCCAGGCTACCGATCCTCCAGTGTCCCTCACTGTAGTAAATGTCACCACCATTTATTGAGTGGAGTAGCAGCATCTTTTCACCACCTTTCTCAGAATCCCACCCATCTCCAAGTTTGTCTATTTTTTACTATTTCTCTATTTCATACATGAATGTTTATCTGCTGCTTCAAACCAGGATCATCCTTTTTCTAAATTATACAATGACCTCCTAAGTGATCTCCTTGCATTCATTCTTCTCCCTTTCAATCATTTCTCTTTCTGTCATCAAAGTAATCTTTTCAAAGTCAAATCTCATCCTGTCACTCATCTCTTACCAACTCCTGCCTAGCCCCTGGGCCCACCATGGCCAAAAACCTACATGGCTTCTCCTCGCTTCTGGGACCAAATAGCCTGTAAGGCATTATAGGATCTGGCTCTGTCTTAATCTGCTTGGGCCCACTATAACAAAATACCATATACTGGGTGGTTCAAACAAGAAATTTGTTTCCTCACATTTCTGGAGGCCGGAAGTCCTGGACAGGGTGCCAGCATGTTTAGGTTCCGGCGAAGCCTTCAATTTCTGGCTGTGTCCTCACTAGGCCTTTCTTAGGTGCTTGCAAGTAAGAGAGATGGGGAGTGGGGAGGAGAGGGTGCAAGGCAGAGAGAGAAGGCATACCTCTCCTCTTAAGTACACAAATCCTGTGGAGTTAAGATCCCACCCTTAATATACCACATTTAACCTTAATGATCTCCTAAAGGCCCTATCTGCAAATACAGTCACGTTGGAGATTAGGGCTTCAACATATGAATTTTGGGGAGACACAATTCAGATCTCTAGCAGGCTCCTACTGACACTATTTTTTTTGGTTTCTGACCTCTCTTATTTCCTACTTTCATCATGCCTTGCTACTTCCCACCTCAAGACTTTTGTACCTGCCATTTGCACGCCCCTTTTCCTGGTTAATCCTTATTCATTGCTTAGATCATTTCCTCAAGCAACAATTCTCTCATTACCCAGCCACTCAGGCTAGGAAAAGTTTTGCTGCTGAATGCTATAACAGAAAAGTTCACCTTGTCTTTGCAATTGTTCACTTATTTTTATGTTTACTGTGTTCTCCACTAGACTTCAAGGTACTTATGAAGAGGGACTATGTCTGAGTTTATGCATTATTATGTTCCTAACACCTGGGAGAAGGTCTGGTACCCAGTTGACTCTTGGTAAGTATTTGTTGAATAAATGAATGAATGAATGAATAAGTGTTTAATAAATATTTGTTGAATAAATGAACAAATAAGTCCTGATAAAGAAGTGAAACTGCTGAGTTTAATTATTAGTTTCATTGTTCAGGTGAAACATTGAGATGGAGCTGTCACTCCTCTCTACCCCAAGTGAAAGATGCTGGGGGAAGCAGAATCATACTTCAGAAAAAGCCAATAATACCATGTTCTTTATCAGCCATTTCTACCTGGAGGAAGAGCATGCCTGGTCGCTGGAGAATAAAGTCCTGGAACCAGGCCTGAGTGAAGAGTGGGGGCCAAGGCAGTTCATATTACTTTTGCTTTATCTACAATACCCTTTCTTTCTTCTGTTTTTTTGTTTGTTTGTTTTTTGTTTTTGTTTTTTCTTCATCTTAAATGTTTCTGGCACTGATTACTCAACTTGGCCATTTGGGCAAGTTAAGAAAACTTGGAAGCAGTTTTCTTTAATTTCTCTAGTGAGCCATTTATAATAGGCTTGATGACCCTAGAAGGTTATGGCTAAGAATTAAAAAGAATACTGAAACAATATCAGCTTCTAATCCCAGATTTAGTAAACAGTATCTAAAAATTGATTTATACAATTTTGATACACAGCTTATACCAAGTTTTCAGTAGCTGTTTTGGGTTAAATCCCTTCTCACAACACAAGTAATTAAGTCATCGACACCAGCAAGCAATTTGAACAGTTCAAGATGTTTTCAAAAACAAAGATTAGAAATTAGAAATATTTTATTTCTTCACCTAAATTTAACAAATTTTTGTTGAGTTAGCAAAATCTCCAGGGAAAGGACATCACTAAAAAGACAAAAATCTTTATTAAAAATAAATACCGGATAAAAATAACCCTACAGGATTTTTGTTTTTGTTGTTGCTTTGGGTAGACTTTAGTCATGGAAACAAATGAATTGTATTGCACCAGAGTCATATCTTCTATATTTAGAGAAAAGTTTTGTGTTTAGGAAAAGTGTCATATTTTGCATTACAGATAGGCTGAGCTAGGTGAACTTCAGTGAGACAGGAAACATGGGTCCTGTTATTCTTTACTTTCAGAGGGATATAGAAAGTACTAATGGATCAAATCCAGCCATAACCAATTGTGGGGTGATGGGAAGGCGGGGAGCCCAGTATTGCTGTCAGGATTTTCTAATTGTAAAGTAAGTCAAAAGATGAGAAATAATAAACAAAAGGCTGAATTCAAATAAGCAGTTTACAAGGAAGCTATTCATGGAGTAAGAATTCCAATGGCAGGACAGGTTTGATGATGCCCAGCAGATATAAAACAGGGAGGTCGGAAGCTGTCACATTAAGACACGGTTGATAAAAAAGAAATTAAGCCTATTTATTACTCTGGGATTAAATTTGGGTAGTTCAACTCCAGGCTTCAGCACCAAAGACACAATGAAGGGCCTTGGAAACCATGAAGCCAGCCTTTGAGTTACCAGAACGTAGAACAGAGTAGTACAATAATTCCCAGTTATTGGACAATTACCACCCTGAGGGCTGCCATCAGTAACAGGTAAGAGGGAGTTTATGACCCAAAATAAGACCTCCTGCCCACTGTGGAGGGTACCCACATATCTGGAGTAGAACCTCTGCAGACTACCATTAGCAGGCATCATGATTGTCCAAATATTCAAAGTATGAGCACCTCTCTTCAAGAAACCTTACCTCTATTAGCAGAAGCCAAGTAGGTATGCAAGAACTCTTCCTGTCTTAGGAACACCCTACAGTGCCCCCTCCCCCCACCATGTACAGTCTTAGAACGGTGAGGACTATCCAGGTTTAATTTCATCACACACCTTGTCCTGTTTGTGGAGGTCACCAATGGAAGCTCAGAACTCACGCTCATCCCTTTAACTCTAATCCTGATACCACCCAGACCTTAGCCTTTTTTTGACTTTCTCTCCTACCTTGCCCCAATGTGTTATCTTAATTCACAGAGCTTCTGGAACTCGAAATCGATCGTTAGTGAACCCTCCTATATCTTCTGCTTCTTCTTTGAGCATTCACTTTATCTTCTTGCTCTAACTGAACTGTGACTCTCCCCTCAAACAACTGCTTTCCCTACAACCTTCTCATGGCTTCTCATACCCTTGGGGCCTGTCCATGCGATAAGTGACTTCCTTGCTGCTTATCACCATTTTCAGACCATTGTTCTTCTCTTTACCATGTAATCATTCACCTTGAACTCTCCTGTCATCAGACAATATCAACCATCCCCCTGGTTTTGCAGATAAATACTTCCCCTCTTCAAGTCATGGAACTTCATTCTTTGAAGAATTGAGCTCCTGGCTCACTTTCTGTCTCTCCAAAACTATTGCCATGATCCTTCATGGTTATTTGAACATGCACAGAGATGACTCTTCCTACAGGTGGGCTTTCCATTCCTTGACCTCCAAATACCTTGTACTCTATTCCCTTGTATTCTATTGTACCCTTTCCCAGCAACTCATTCTCATAGACTTACCTTGACTTTTGTTATAAATACATGCAACCCCTCCATAATCTCAGTGGCCAACAGACCACTCAGTGCCCACGTGGCTATAAACTGATGTAAAAGAAAGGAACAGGCTGCTATGTTCTGATAATAAAGGAGGTCGGCCTCCACTGGATATGTCAGGCAGGTTTCCCACAAGAACATGGTCCTTGAGCCAAAAGCTAAAGTATGTTTAAGCACTCAGTAGAAGGAAAAGGACTTATGTGGGGAAGCAGAAGACAGGGGATGGGGAAAGAAGTCTCCAGGTAGCAGGAAGACTATGCATCTGTTCTGGGGTTGAGAGGGAACATACTTAAAGAATAGAAAACAAAACAAAAATAAATTCAGTTGTGCAGTATGCAGAGCTGATACACAAGGCCCTTGAGCAAATGATTTCCCCAACTGTGAGTTGCTCCTGGAAATGAATGCCTAATGCTCCATTAACCATCACCTTTTCTAATGGTACCTGGATCTGTGACTTATTTTTGGACATTAAGACCATGAAATTGACCCAAGGTCTCTATTAGCTTATATGGTCATAAGATATACATTCCTCAAATAATACATTTTTAAGTTACTGTATTATGGATTACACTCAACTGCTCTGTGCTGGGGTCACCTAGTACTGAGGACAGCGACCCTAGCTTCTCACAAATGATCTTGCCCACTCATTATTAGATAGCAGGGCACACAAGCCATGGGCAACAGGATGCTCCTGCCCCTACTTTCCCTTTTCCCTGCCCTGACCACAATGCTGGATTCATAATCCAATGGGGATTGGGCCCGGGGGAGTAGCAGACACACTAAGACAGTGTGACAGCCCAGGACACAGCCACATCCATGTAGTCACCACTGAGTGTGCATGCACATTCTCTCCCATGTGTGCACATGAGTACATGGCCAGGAGTGTTCGCGAGGATTTACGGAAGAGGAGCTTTCTCCCCTTCCATTCCAGAACTTGGTTGGGAGCCTTGGAACCTCCATGTTATTTGTCCACTGCCATTAAGAACCACTTCATGTCTACAGCATGAATAGTTCTATCTTGTGCAGTAGACACTCAGAACACTGATTTCTTGTGTCCTGGACTTAACCTCTTATCTCTGCTTTCACCGTCTACTTCTTGGACTGCATCTCCTTTTGTTTTGACTCCTTGATAGTTGCTGTCCTGACTTCCTGTTAATTAGATCTTTAATTCACTTTTGATCACTCTTCCTCAAATGATAACATTTTTACATGCCCTATCAACTCCCAGTAACTGATCCAAAACACTGACTTTTAATCAGTCCTCTCACTGGGGCGCCTGGCACACTAGGCTGTATAACCTGTTTGACCAGACAGACAGCAATCACATAAATATGTGCTCATTTTTCTGCCAATGGGAATACCTTCAGTTTTATCGCTTTGAAGCTGATAGTTAATGTGATGTTTGAGGACTTCTAGTTTGAGTTCCAAGAAGTATGAACACTATATTTTGGTCAATGTTCTTCAAACCATTTTTTAAAAATTTTTAATTCTTGTAAGTGGAAGAGTCGTATATGTTTATACACACTATAGAGTATATGTTTATGGTGTACATGAGATATTTTGATACAGACATGCAATGTATAATAAGTACAACCAGCTAAATGGGGTATCCGTCACCTCAAGCATTTATCTTTTATGTTACAAATAATCCAATTATACTCTTATTTACTTTAAAATGCAAACTTTTTTTTACTTCTTAATTATCAGTGTGTGCAGTACACTTTAATAAATTCCTAATGCCATTTGCTGAAAATCACAAACCGCATTTTATGATCCTTTGAAAATGAAAAATGCATGGGTGTATGAATGTGGCAAAAACATACTTCATCATTTTCAACTGTTAAGCTTTTGCTGCAGAGGTTTTTCCTAGGCAGAGCATTGGAGTTTTAACTTTGTACTCAAGAATATTGATTTAACAAAGGGGGAGAGAGCCTGGCGTTTTTTGTCAGCTCTTTCCACTTGAAGATCACTTACTGGTGGCAATCCCCTTGAGCCTAGCGTGTCTGTACTTATTTATATAAGCAAACTCATTGTCAGAAGATTGCAGCAGTAGACATGGTCTACTATTTTGTTAACACAATGACTCCTGCCATATCTAAGCAATCAAAAATAAGTAGAAATTTTAAATAATAATTGAAGTGTAATAATCGATCATTAAAAACAGAGGACTTGTACTTAAGTTCATGGAATATTGTATCATTGATCAACTTCATCTGAATGGTTTTCCAGCTCTTCTTGGCTCATTCTCATTTCCCCTAAATGTGCTTTTAACAATAATCAACCATCAGAGGTTCTAAAAACATTAGCAGTGGGACGTTTGCATGGGAAAATGATTGCACTAAGGTATAAATCATAATATTTGATCATCAATGTTTTGGTTTTAAGAATAGTAATAGTTTTAGTGAAATATTTATAAAGATTTCCTAACTGATTCTTTGGAAAATTATTTGTTTCTAGGGTATTTTTTTTTTGGAGTTAAAGTTATATATAATAAAGATTCAGAAAAACAAAAAATATACAACTGTCTTAAAAATCCATTTGAGTTGGCTAAATGCTTCTGATAAAGTATGCAAATGACCACTACTACTTTTTTCTTTGTGTTAAGATTAAAAACAAGCTGGAAATGAACAATAGCACACTATTTACAATAAAATGTATCAAAACAATGAGAAACCAAGGCAGGTAGTAAAACATAATACTGCTTCACCTTCCAGAAAAAAAGATAAATAAGATTGGGAATTTTTCTCCTTGCTTGTATATATCATGTTATATCACACAATAGGAAATCTGCTGTGAATACAATAATGGAGAGAAGCCATTTAAATCTATCTATTGTTGTAGGCATATAACAAATGAACCTTCATTGTATCCTTCCTTCAAGGTGGTTCAGGAATAATAGTATAGTAAAAGCATGTCAATACTGATGACACATCATTTTTCTCCACTTGGAGGAGGAGGAGAAAAAAATACATTTAATAAATGTATTTTAACAATGTCATATTTTTATATCATAAGCATCTTAAGCCACATGGCCCCAGCACAACACAAATAGGACTTAGTTAGCAGCTCTCCTTTAAATTGTGTTTTCACAAAAAGCTGATCTGAATAAATCAAGATTAAAAAGTGGATTTGCCCTAAGAGAACTGAAGTATAGATAAATTTATGAAGAGAGCTGCCTTTCCCTTCTTTTGGTTTAGACGAAGCTGTCCCTTGTGGAAGGCAGACTGCTTTCAACATGTCTTGGCAAGAGTATTTGAATCATGGTGCTTATTATCTGTGTGGCTTTCAGCAAGTTGCTTACCTTTTTTGAGAGTCAGTTTTCTTATAAATGAGGATATTACAATATTGTTGTAAAGCTTGGACATGACAAAATATTATTTCATAAATTATTATTTACAAACGAATCTATTCTAGGTATAGACTGCCTAGAACCTTAGTAGCAAATAAGCATCAAAGAGCTAAAATAGTTATAGAAAATGATGGTGATGATCAAGATAGATAGACAGATAGACAGACAAATAAATAGACTCCAGTGGCTATAGCATGTTTTTACGGAAATTTAAAATAGTTAATTCAATTTGGAAATTCAACTACAACTTAAATGCCATATTTAAGGGCATTATTTTATGAATGGACATAGTTTTCCATCTCAAATTATATACTTTTAAACCCAAGTTTGCATATATTAGATGTCCCTCCAGAAAAGCACACCCATATATCTGGAAGGCAGCCATTCATATATTTCAATGAAAGAATAATCTTTATCTAGTCCTAACTCTGTTCAAAGGCCTGAAATTTAATGAGCAAAGCTGCCCAGTGCAAAGTAAAGCTTAGCATGTACAGACATTACTGAACTTTAACTTCTCAAAACATTTTTTTCCTTGTGCTTTTATGTTGATAGGCACTGGCTGAATGTCAGTAACTTATGTGGCAACTATTCAGGCTGTGTAAACAGCCAAAGTATCCATATTCATCGTTTACACTTTAGAACACATTAAAAAGTGACATTTGTGTCAGGGTTCTCTTGCTCTGTCTCACTTTCCTCTATTTCTTTCACCTCCAGTATCTCAAAACCAGAACATAGCAATGCTGGCCCTTATACCCTCTCCAAGGAATATCCAATAAACACAGTTGAGTGATGGAAACTTGAGCCCAAATTTACCAACCCAATTAACCTTTGAACCTTGGATGATGATCCTTACTGCCACATGCAACACCAGCAAATGGTCTCTTGAGCAAGAGTTTATGGTGTATTTTCTTTTTATCAATTTGTTTTCCAGTCAAGCGCATAATAACTTTGAGTACTTGCTGCTTTTAGTTTGCACTGGTTCACACAAATAGACCAGAGCTCACCTGGGTAATAAATATCTAATATGCTAACAATGTGTGTTTTTCTCAACACAAAATGGTGAGTGAAGTGGACAAGATGAAAGCCCACCCACAGTCCCTTTAATTGTATCCTGAATATTCAGCAAAGATAAGAAAGTAATGAGTAATTTGCAATGAACCTAAAAGGACACATCGAATTGGTCTTGGCCCTTCACTGATTTTCAGTACTGTTCAATATAGCTTTTCCAGAAATAAAGTGAATTTTTTGTTTAAATGTTGGAATGCATTAAGGAAACACAAGGCCTTGCTCAGGAAATGCAGGAAGCTCCTAAGCACAGACTTCACTCAGGAACTTTAGCAGGTGCTAAATCTTAAATAAAAACTTCAGCGTACTCTTAATTGATCAATTTGTCTTGAATTTAAATGTCAAAATGTTTCATTTTATGTTAAAGAAAACAAAAAATATTGTGAACACAAGTTTGCTGTTTTGCTATGTTCCTGATAGTCTATGCAGCCCAAATATTTTTCACATGAAAAAAGCACTGACGTTCATTCTTCACTTGAGAGCATGTCATGGAATGAATTTGCAGGATTCATGAAAGTAGACTTTATCAGATCTTAATACTTCTTTAAAGATTTCAACTTTACCCATAGAAAAATATCTTGTACAAAAATTACTATTCTTAGTGCATATATCTGATTCTTGTCTTGACTCTATAATCCTATTATTTAGATTGCATATCAGAATCACTTCAAACATCAGCTTTTATTGATGTCCTTCAAAGAACATCACACATTAAAAAAAAAATCTGTATCTTACAAACATGCTGAATATAATACAAACATAAGCAGGATATGAAAAATGTATACTTTGCAGTAACTGTGGATAGTTTTTGAAATGTCACCTGCTCTGTGGGATGTAAAGGAGATGAACATTATCATTTGGCATAACTGTCTATTTCTTTGGATGTAGAAATAAAGTACTGATCATTACTCTATTTGATTTTATAGAACACTTTTAAATGTCTTGATGGATGTAGTTTTCAAAAAAAACTGACAATGAGTCTGAATCTGGATTTAAGAATGCTGGGATAATAATGCTAACAAAAATGGTACTCTCTAGGATATTCCGACAAGGACTGTAGAAAGCACATATCACTCAACATGACATTCCATTTTACCCATACCAGTTTTAATAAATTACTGATAGAACCATTAGTATCTTCATATATAGTCAAATTTTCTCCATCTAGTGAATCAGGAATGTAAATTTTGCCTTTGCCGGATCCTCTGGAATTAGATTTAGTGAATTTCCCAAGGTCACAAAAGGTCCAAATTGCACATCATCCAGTGTGACATGACATGGTTGGTCAACTAAAATGCAACTATAAAGGCACAGAAGCCTTTCCAAAGATACTTACAGAGCTTTTCCTTTTAGTCCATAGGGTAGTGTGGATGAGATTCCTCAGGAATCGCTAGTGAAACAAACAAGAAAACCACAATATTAAAGTGGTTCAGCTATTTTATCTTCATTAAAAATATTTCTTTATAGCTCTCTTCCCATGAATCAAACACTTGGCCATTTGCTCACACAAAGACTACCTCCCTAACTAGTGCTGCCTACCACTTTAATTGAATCCAGATGTCTTTCTTCCAGGTTTCTTTGTATTCCTGAGCATGTCCCATAAAATAATTGATAAATTATTTCAGTGAGATTCTTGCCCTTTAATTTCATCTGTAACAATTTTTATAACACATTGAATAACAGAATCCTTCCACTTATACAACAATATTACTATTGCAAATTTCTTCCATACCTTCCCTGTCCACAGCATCAGGTTCCAGTGAATTTCAAAGTCAGTAAACAAAAGGAAAACTCAGTGTTCACAAAAGCGTCTTCAGGATTTATATCAATTTCCTCTTTTCTTTCACTTTGGCTATGTCATTTAGAGAATGACTATGAGACATGGATCTGGCTAAAATATGAGTTAGCAGCCCTAGTTTTGACACACAGTTTTGCAAAAGGAACTCCTATTTTATCTAAAGTTGTGGCAAAGAAAGGTCCCCAAGTTTATTTGTAGATTCAGTTTCCTGTATGCGTGCGTGTGTGTGCGTGTGCGTGTGCCTGCGCAGACACACGCATGCACGCCATTTTGACTTTGTGAAGCAGAACAATGCCTCTCCTTCCCAAAGATACCCATGTGCTATACTCCAGAACCTAAGAATATGTTAGGTTACATTGCAAAGGGTATTTAAAGTTGCAAATGAAATTAACTTTTCTAATCACCGACTTTCAGATGGGTGATTATTCTTAATTATCCAGGTGGCCCCAATATAATCGCAAAGATACTTAACAGGAGAGGCATGAATGAGAAGAGGTCAGAGTAACAAGTTGTGAGAAAGGCCTAGCCCACACCATTGCTGAGCTTTAAAGGAGCCACCGTCAAGGAATGTGGGCAGACTCTAGAAGGGGGAAATGCAAGAAAATGGATTTTTTTTCTAGAGCCTCCAGAAAGGGAAGCATCTTGATTTTTAACCCCATGTGACTATTTCAGACTTCCGACTTCCAGAAGTGTAAAATAATAAATTCATGTTATTTTAAGCCACTAAGATTGTGGTAAATTTCTTATGGCGGAAACAGGAAACTAATAAAGATTTCCTGTAGTTCCATCCTAGAATATTATGTAATTGTGTCCTACACTATTGGCATAGTGGGTGCCAAACAGACTGTGGTAACGGTGCAGTTGCAGGAGTGGAGAGAGGGTTTTGAAATGAAATACAATGCTAGCTTAGAAGAGCATCATGTCACCAAAGAACTGTCTCCTTGAAAATTTTCCATTTCAATTCCCCTTTGCAATGTTAACCATGGCAACAGATTGGTATCACATAAAATATTATCTAACTTTAGTTTAATCTAGAAAAAGAGAGTCTGATTTCAAAGGTATTATTTTTAATACGCTTTTCCTTTTGTAAAATAAAAAAAATAGTGTGTTTCAATATCCTATTTAACTAAATAAGATTAAATGCCATCTGAAACTTTTTCTACGTTATAAATCCATCTACTAAATGTGTGTATCATAAAAATCTGCATTTACATGCCATAAGTCATTTTCCTTGCAACTACCTCTCACTTTATACATTAAATTCCTTTCCGTTTTTGTTCTAACCAATTTCTGAAAAAGTAGAGACCACTCTATTTTTGAGTTAAATGACTTTGTATGGATTCTGCATGTGATTTATTGCTCTAAGCTTAAATATGTGAAGACTTATATCTTAAGAGAGATATGCTTAGCCTGGAGATTTTGCATTTTTAGTCACTGAAAATCTGAATTACAGGATTGGAAGGGAAATCAGAATTCTCTAACTTCTCTTTTTGTAGACATCTACGCTAATGTTTTAGCCAGATATTGTCCTTTTCCTTTTTTCTTTTGGCTTTTCCAGTTTTCCTGGGAATACATTTTCATAGCACATAAAAATAATGTGAAGTTATATTTCAAATCCATTACACCATGTTTTGTTATGTCTAACCTAAGTCCCTTCTAATCCATTTCAAATTCACTTCCTATTCTGGTCTTCCCAGGAATATGTAACAGCTCTATATCTTCTGAGTCATCCTTTTCATACTTGAAGTCTTCCTAAGTCTTCACCCTCAACCAGCCACAGTTTTGTTATTTCCAAGCTTAATAGAAGCTAACATGTTTTTTTAACTTGTAAGGAAAATTCAACAATTAATCACTTTTATTTTTCTCCCATGGATGTACCCTATAGATCAATTGTGGAATACAAACAAGCTACTATATCCTAATTCAATTGTGATCATTATGAATCAAATAATATTAAGATGTTTCAATTGCTGTTATCTGTGTCAATGTCATATTTCTTATAAAATTACTGCATTAATGACTCATATCTAATCCATAGCCTCCATAGCCTGATTTTTCTAAACACAATGAAAACTAAACCACATTCTTTTACAGAAATTAGGTTTTTTTGCCCTCTTTGAAGGGGTAATATAGTTACAGGCCAAAGACTAATGAACTGGGAAGCAGGGAACAAAGCATTCACAAGACCTTTCTCTTAGCTGGGCCTCAGTTTATTCTGTAAAATTAGACAACTGAAGTAGGTAGATTTACTCTCCCATGTTCCTGTTCTTGGGATGTTTTTAGAGTAAATGTGGAACTCATGAACAAAAATATTTCACTGCTTGCTGTGAAGTGCTACTTGATTTTGTCTCACATAGAATATTTCACTAGTCTGTTAAAACTAAGAAAGACAGTGGAAAAATCCACAAAGCAATTGGTCTATAATTATCCCCTTCTAAACATTTTGAAACAGCCTCATTGTCTGGGGTGCCACCAGAAGTTCTCTGTCTCACGGCCGAGGAAATCAAGGATGCAGACATGACAAGGGTGAGGTTAGAGCAGAAGTTAAATAATCAGAAGAGAGAAAGCTGTCTGCCACAGAGAGGGGTCCTGAAAAAGGGTTTCCATTTCACAGTTGAATACAGAAGCTTTTATAAGAAACCAACGAGGACTAGGCATCTCATTTGCATAATGTGCAGATTTCTGGTAGCTCCACCCCATCCTCCTAGTATGCATGTGGGCCCTTAGCTTGAGTTACTCCATATTGCTTTGTTCCCCTTACTGTGTATGTGTGAGGGGACAAAATTTTCCATTTTGGGCATGTCTGGGTAAATCTCCTGTGTAGCCTTTCTTACCTATGAGGCTGTGGGCATGCCTCAGGCAAGCCTCCCTGTGCAAGTTCCCTTATCTATGCCTGCAGGTTGTTCTTTTGTTTGAAATAATTCAACTGAAGACCCATCCTAACTGCCTGCCTAACCAGTTTGTTCCTTCCTCCTCTCTCAATTTCAGTTTTTTAAAAATATTTTCTCGGCCGGGCGCGGTGGCTCACGCCTGTAATCCCAGCACTTTGGGAGGCCGAGGCGGGCGGATCACGAGGTCAGGAGATCGAGACCATCCTGGCTAACACGGTGAAACCCCGTCTCTACTAAAAATACAAAAAATTAGCCGGGCGTAGTGGCGGGCGCCTGTAGTCCCAGCTACTCGGGAGGCTGAGGCAGGAGAATGGCGTGAACCCGAGAGGCGGAGCTTGCAGTGAGCCGAGATTGCGCCACTGCACTCCAGCCTGGGCGACAGAGCGAGACTCCGTCTCAAAAAAAAAAAAAAAAAAAAAAAAAAAAAAAATATTTTCTCAGGTGGTAGTTAAGGTAGCACAAGCCTCTAATATTCAAGGTTATTATTCTTGTTATTCAAGAATATAATATTCAAGGTTATTATATTCTTATAACTTTGAGATAGATTTTAAATTTATGAGATCTTATCTGAGGCTATCTACCTGAACATTAACAAGTTGAAGAAGATATATAATACTTATAAACAAATATTCACTGTGAAATTATCTGTACTTATGAAAAAACGAAAATTAAGTTTTGTTAAGTATATCTTAAATGTTAGGACCCTTAAGAACATGAAGAAATGTTTAAGATATAATTTTTAAATAAATTAAAGCAACATAAGTATCTAGATATTTTGGCTGCAACTTTATAAACATGTTAAACATATTTGTTGAATATAAGAAAACACAACTAATGAATTAAAGACATTTTTATTGCAAATTTATCTTTACTCATGCTATATGTTTGAAATTGTAGCTCATAGCTTGAGGTTAATTCAATACATTTTTAAAGAACTTTTATGTAATATAAAGTTTAAAAACCTCTATATATTTATTTAGTTAGACATAGTCAAAGACTCCCCATTCACAATGCTCTATCTGAGCTGCATTCTAGTTATTGCAATACTGCTGAGTTTGTGGTTATTGGTTATATCTTGAAATAATTTGCTTTATCCTTTTAATGTTTTATTACTTTGTCTTCCTTTTATATTGCTTTTAGATTTGTTTTGCTATCTTTAGAGATGAGGATATAATGGTGATTTTTCAAACAGTAGTTAAAAATTGACTCCATTTATAACCCAAGACATAATTCTCTTCGAAGAAAGTTGTCTGCCTCAGCAATAGCACTCCCTTTGGAAGAGAGGACCCTGAAGGCTAAGTAGGAGTAATTGAAGAGGAATGAAATGTTTTTAACTATTAAAAATCACCTTTGGCTTACAAGATTTAATTAAATGTAGTTTGTACCTCTTCAACCATTTGTATCCAACATTAAAATTGTCAGCATATTTTTCTGCTAACGATAGAGGACAAACCAAAAATTTGTATATCCTTCTCCAAATTGAGGAATCGATGTATAAGGAGCATACATACACACGTAAGTAGAATAGTTCATTCCCTTTGACCAAATGGTGGCTGAATATTCTTTATTTTCTTCTAATGTCTCATATATTAAGAAATTTTTTTTGTTGTTATTCTCAAAATGTAATTGTCATCTAAAATTGGCCAATACAATACATTAACATCTCAGTGATGAAGTAGCTACTAACAAATTCAGAAGACTGTTCCAGGAATATAGTTGAGTAATTGAAAGATGTGATCATCTTTCTTCACTCCCAGTTTGCACGAAAATTGTTCCAGGAAAAATGGGTTCACCTATAATGGTGCCTGTCAGAGTCTTCCCATGAGAAACACAGATTCTCAGTGACACACCGAAACGCGGGGAGACATAGAGATGGATCGCAGTCAGACCTTGAACTTCAAATTAGTGGACAATAGCTCTATAGAGATAACAACTAATTTTCTCCCTACAGGAATACCATGCAGGCTGACAGGCCAACATCATCCATTATTTTTAATTGGAGAGAAAAATGCCACAGTTAGAGTGACACACCACATATCCATGGCCTAACTTTGTGATGGGTAGGAAATTCACTAGCAAAGTGGACTTTCATTTTGTATTCAGTTCCTTTTCACACCAACGGGAAGAGGTGAGGGGAGAAATGTCTAAATGTCAGACAGTCAGTGAGAAGGAGACTGCTGCTTCTCAGCAGAAGTAATTAGGCGGGCCTTTCTCAACCCTGGACTAGGCAGTGAAGGCTCCTTCCAGGTAACAGTGCCCTTTGTTCTGTTTTCAAGAGTCGCAGACTGATGTGTCTTCTCAAAAAGGAGCTTTCCCCTCCGTGATTAAATATTTATCACAGCAAGAAGCTAGCAGTGGTACTATGTGCCTCCAATTAACCACAACAGAGGATGATTAGTGCCTACAGGACAAGCATCACTATTTTGAAAGGGAGGGGCAGATTAGTGCATCCATGTGGCCAATCTTTACTCCCCCCCAATAAGCCCATTACAAAGGATATTGTTTGTTGGTAAACATCAGCACTTGCCAGTCTTCCACTCTATCAGCAAGCTTCCGGTGGTGAGCCTGTCTCTGCCCATTAGAATGTAACTTACATGTACATCTCTTGGTTTCCAGATGGTCTTATGAGTAAAAGAAGCCTTTTAAGATGAGACTGATCAATTTCAATGCTATAAGACTTAGAAGAGTTGCTCACCAGGAAATAAATTGGTTTATGTTCAGGCAAAAATAAGCTCCTTGAAGGTAGGGGCTGTACTTTCTATGGGTTCCATCAAGAACTCAGTGCCTGATGAAAAAGAGTGTTACATGGAGGGATGATGGCCACATTACACTCAGCCATCTGAGTCAAAAAAGGCAGTGCTCATTTTCAGAAAAACACCATCATTACATTCTTCAAGGATATGAAAGTAATGTAAATATGACAAAATGTCTCCATAGTGCCCAGAAAAGAAAAATAGATATATAGTATAACTCCTTAGAAAAGAGGTACCGATTTAGTCATGTTACATTTCAGAGTTAGGGTACAACAGCATTTATATGATAGAAAGTCAATAAAAACTCCTGTTTTCAGTGAGAAATTCAGATGTTTCACACCTGTTAAAAGCTTTAAAATTGAATTTTAAAGGACAATTGTTTGATACTGTGTAAGTAGCCCTGTTTAGCTTGAATCATAGTGTTTTTATCACCCATAAACATGGTAGTAATATTTTCTACCTCATAGAGATAGTACACTATAAGTAAAAAAAGCTGATAGTGTAGATGTTCTCAACTAGCACTGTGCCTGCAACATAGGCATCCAATAAAGGTTTCTCTTTTTCCTTAGTAGAGATCTACATGCTTGAATTGCTAGTTTATCATAACAAGTTTTTTACAAAAATAGTAAACATAAATGATCTATTAATATGTTTTCTGGCTGGGCGCAGTGGCTCATGCCTGTAATCCCAGCACTTTGGGAGGCTGAGGCGGCTGGATTGCGAAGTCAGGAAATCGAGACCATCCTGGCTAACACAGTGAAACCCTGTCTCTACTAAAAATACAAAAGATTAGCCAGGCATGGTAGTGGGCATCTGTAGTCCCAGCTACTCTGGAGGCTGAGGCAGGAGAATGGTGTGAACCCGGGAGGCGGAGCTTGCAGTGAGCCAAGATCACACCCCTGCACTCCAGCCTGGGTGACAGTGCAAGACTCTGTCTCAAAAAAAGAAGTTTTCTAGTTGCCAAACTACCAGCAGGTCAGCTTTTACTGATATGATAATTCAATGGATATTTCCTCAATTTCCTGGACCTTTCCATGGGCCTATCCATGAAAAATCCAGATGATGTAAAAATTCATATTTTAATAACAACATCTAACATTTATGAATGGCCAGCCTCCACTGGAGTGCTTTATGTACTTTAATAATCTTTACAAGAACCCTGAATGCATCAGATCCTTTGTTTACTATGATATCCTCACAATTTGCATCAGAAATATTTAAACAAACAAACAAACTGGCCTCTCCAATGTCTCTTGGACCAGCCTTACTATTTCCCAGCAATGCATTTGTGTTCACATGCTTTCTTTTCTTTGTAACCCCTACTACCCTCTTCTGTATATGAGCCCTCTTCCTCAGATGGATGGTTCATGAGACTATACTCAAAGTGGGCTCAAAATTGACTATCCAGAGTTGGAGATTCACTATTTTGCACCATTTGGTTATCACCTAATTTCAGACCCAGTTCCAAATAATGGCTGACACTCCAGTCCCATGCTACATTCTACTTTCTCATGTGGTAATGTGTCCAGAATTGTCTCCTTCCGGTGGGTTCTTGGTCTCGCTAACTTCAAGAATGAAGCCACGGAAACTTGCAGTGAGTGTTACAGTTCTTAAAGATGGTGTGTCTGGAGTTTGTTCCTTCAAAATGTTCAGATGTGTCCGGAGTTTTTTTCCTTCTGGTGGGTTGATGGTCTCACTTGACTTCAGGAGTGAAGCCGCAGACCTTCGCAGTGAGTGTTACAGCGCTTAAAGGTGGCACATCGGGAGTTTTTTGTTTCTTCTGGTGGGTTTGTGGTCTCTCTCACTTCAGGAGTGAAGCCACAGACCTTTGCAGGGAGTGTTACAGCTCATAAAGGCAGTACAGACCCAAAGAGTGAGCAGCAGCAAGATTTATTGTGAAGAGAAAAAGAACAAAGCTTCCACAGCATAGAAGGTGACCCAAGCAGGTTGCTACTATTGGCTCAGGTGGCCAGCTTTTATTCCCTTATTTGGCCCCACCCACATCCTGCTGATTGGTCCATTTTACAGAGTGCTGATTGGTCCGTTTTTACAGAGTGCTAACTGGTGTGTTTACAAACCTTTAGCTAGACACAGCGCTGATTGGTGCATTTTTACAGAGTGCTGATTGGTCCGGTTTTACAGAGTGCTAACTGGTGTGTTTACAAACCTTTAGCTAGACACAGCGCTGATTGGTGCATTTTTACAGAGTGCTGATTGGTGCCTTTACAAACCTTTAGCTAGACACAGAGTGCTGATTGGTACATTTTTACAGAGTGCTGATTGGTACGTTTACAAACCTTTAGCTAGACACAGAGGGCGCTGATTGGTGTGTTTACAATTCTTTAGGTAGACAGAAAAGTTCTCCAAGTCTCCACCCGACCCAGAAGCCCGTCTGGCTTCACCTCTCAGAAATTTAGGGTTAATTTTGTTAAGACTCAACAGAATAGTAGGTTGTCTTCCCAGTGTCACACAGAGAAAAAAAGAAGACTGTCAGAGAGTCTTGGGGAAGTTTGTTTCTATTTACTTTGATTTTTGTATACTTTTTTACAAGATAGATGGTAACTCATGGCTATGTTGTTTAACTGTGCCCCCACATGAAAATTTTCAGTGTGGAACTATTATGTCTATTCAGTAATCCAGCTTAACGTAATTGAGCATTAAATATGTTAGTATCAAAATGTATTAAATAAATGTATCAAAAAGATGTGCTAGTTAATACTAATCTATGCCAAAAGGTCAATTATTAGTTATTTTTAGTTGTTATTGTCTAAGGAAAGACCATTCATTCAAGGGGCAGTTTCACGTGATCATAGTCTAGGTCAAAGACTATTTCAAACTACAGAACAGCTTGTATGACTCTTCCATACATATTTACGAAGAAATGTTACTACATTTGGTAAACTTTGCAATTAGAGTTCTTTTCTTTAGAAGGTACTCCTTTCCTTCCTTAACCCTGGTTAGTTTACTAATATTTGCAAAACAAAAACAAAAATAATAATAATAAACAACAAAAAAAGAAACCTTGATATCAGCTGAATGGCCTAATTGACTTAGGTTAGTTTATTAAAAAGATATATATTTCCTATTTGTGAGTACTCATCAAATTTGTGTCCTCCTTATTCTGTGTAAACAGCACCACAGCTATTATGCTTATGAAGAAAAGTTAACATTTGTCTTGTGTACTTGGCATCACAATGCTTAAAATAGTTCCAACAAGCAACCCCTAAATGTGCATTTGGTTGTTTTGCTCATTAGCAAGTAGGTCAGTAAGCAAAAGAGGTGGCTGTGTAACTAAACCTCTGCATCAGTAAACACGTCAATGGAACTGTAGATACATCTTAGAACCTATAATGGCTTTTGTTATGAGTTCTGAGTTCTGTGATTCCTGGAACAGTAGATAAGGTTGAAGTACTTTTTTTTCAAGGAAGGACATACAATTAAAATAAAGTCAATTGACAATTGTCTTCTTGAAGTCACAATATATTCCACTAAACTAACAAGTCATCGATCAAAAAATTATATAAGCATTATTTCATACAGTGTATAAATTGCAACTAAACGGCTAATATTTATCATCCCCAAATGGTGCAGGTTGGAATAAACCTGTAATATCTCACATGTTCCCTGGTTATTTGAAGATATAAAGGATTTGAATGAGTTACAAGATGAGTGTCAGGCATTTCACTTTGGAACAAACTACAATCGCTACCAGAAGATCATTTATATGGCTGTTCTCGCATTCTGTTACAGCACTGTCTGTCCAAAAGTTCTTTATATTCATCTTATCTGAACAAATTTTTAAAAGCAAGTAACAATGCTTAATTTTTGTGACACAGTCAAAGTCGTATGAGCAAAAGAATAGCCAAAAAGACCCTCATAGAATGTAAAATGTGAAATTTGTTGTGTATGTATGCATCCTCTGAGTGGGTGGCCCCATAATAAGCCATGCAAGACAGTATAAGCCTGTTCCCAGAGATCAATGCCGTGACTGCAGCCATCCATCATCTCTAACACAGGCAGGATGCAATCAATGGTAATCCATCTCTTTCCCATTGGATAATTGATTTTTTTAAAAAATTTGTGGGATTGATCTTTTTTCATTTTAAGAAACTGTCATTGCATAATACAGCAGTCTTAAGGGCTGAGGGAAAAGGGGTTTCGTTGTTTCAATAAAATCCTAATGACATTAGATTTAATTATACTCTCATCCACAATTTGCCCTGAGAAAAATTATGAAGCTTGTATCTTGAGTATTTTTCCATGTTTCTATTTTGGCTATTTTCTCCACCTTTGGGGTGGGACCATACATAACCCTTTTTAGGTGCTGATCAGTTTTCTGTTTGTGTAGGTTAACACACATTAAGGTGTAACATGGTTTGGCTCTGTGTCTCCACCAAATCTCACCTTGAATTGTAATCCTCATAATCACCATGTGTCAAGGGAAGGACCTGGTGGAAGGTGATTGGATCATGGGGGCAGGTTCCCCCATCCTGTTCTCATGATATCTCATGAGATCTCATGGTTTTATAAGGGGCTCTTCCCTTTTCACTTCCCGCCCTCTCTCTTTCCCTCTCTGTGTGTCTCTCTCTCTCGCTCTCTCACCTGCCGCCATGTAAGACATGCCTGCTTCCCCTCCCACCATGATTGTAAGTTTCTTGAGGCCTCCCCAGCCATGCTGAACTGTGAGTCAATGAAACCATTTTTCTTTATAAATTACCCAGTCTTGGGCAGTTCTTTATAGCAGTGTGAAAACAGACTAATTCAAGTTGTTTTCTAGTAAAGATATTACCAATCCTGGTACTTCCACCTTCACAAAGGTTTTTTAAAATATAAAAACTTTAGTTACATTTTCAGGACAATGACAACTAATAAAACATATTTTTGTGTGCAGGCTTGCAAAAAGATACAAATATTATATTTCTATGCCAAGCTTCTAATTTTCTCTTCCAGTTTTATATTCTTACCACTTGAAAACATACCTCACATTCATTTATATGTTTATTCATTCATTCAAGTGGTATTAATTTTTCATCTTCAGTGTGCTAAAGACTTTTCAATGCACTGAATATGCATTAAAAAAAATAAAACAATCTCTCCCTTAAGGAACTTACATTGCAATAGGAGGAAAAACAGAAACAAACAATACATAAACATCTTCTAGTATTGATAGGTTCTATAGAATATAAATTAGTCTAGTTTCAGAGTGATAGAGTGATATATATATCTAAATATATCTGTATGTGTATATATAGTCCTATGTATCACTAAAGCACTATATACACACACATATATAAAATATCTATGTCATCAAGATTATAATATGTGAAAATTATTAAGACTTATTTTATGGCCCAACAGATAATTTGTCATGGTAAACATTCCACAAAGAAACAAATGTATATTCAGTTGTAATTGGGCATAATGTTATATAAACATCAGTTAGATCAAGTTGGTTGACTGCATTGACTTTTACTATCATTTATACCCTTACTGAATTTTTGTCTATGTACAATATATAATATACTATGTATAATATATAATATACATTATATACTATGTATAATATATAATATACATTATATACTATGTATAATATATAATATACATTATATACTATGTATAATATATAATATACATTATATACTATGTATAATATATAATATACATTATATACTATGTATAATATATAATATACATTATATACTATGTATAATATATAATATACATTATATACTATGTATAATATATAATATACATTATATACTATGTATAATATATAATATACATTATATACTATGTATAATATATAATATACATTATATACTATGTATAATATATAATATACATTATATACTATGTATAATATATAATATACATTATATACTATGTATAATAATATATAATATACATTATATACTATGTATAATAATATATAATATACATTATATACTATGTATAATAATATATAATATACATTATATACTATGTATAATGTATAATATACATTATATACTATGTATAATGTATAATATACATTATATACTATGTATAATGTATAATATACATTATATACTATGTATAATAATGTATAATATACATTATATACTATGTATAATAATGTATAATATACATTATATACTATGTATAATAATGTATAATATACATTATATACTATGTATAATGTATAATATACATTATATACTATGTATAATGTATAATATACATTATATACTATGTATAATGTATAATATACATTATATACTATGTATAATGTATAATATACATTATATACTATGTATAATGTATAATATACATTATATACTATGTATAATGTATAATATACATTATATACTATGTATAATGTATAATATACATTATATACTATGTATAATGTATAATATACATTATATACTATGTATAATGTATAATATACATTATATACTATGTATAATGTATAATATACTATATACTATGTATAATGTATAATATACTATATACTATGTATAATGTATAATATACTATATACTATGTATAATGTATAATATACATTATATACTATGTATAATGTATGTTTTTATTTTATATATTAATATAAGATATATATTTTTAAAAAGCAGAATCTCTCCCTTAAGGAAATTTATAGATATATAAAACATTATGTATTTATATATATTATATAGATATTATACATAGACAAAAATTCAGTAAGAGTATAAATATATATGTATGTTTCAACTGGTTACATACATATATGATTAAACTGGTTTCTTATATATAGATATAGTTGAACCATGTAACCAGAGTGCAGTGAATGCCATCTGGCGTGGCACCCCTCAACAGACAAACACCATTGCCACCTACCTGACAGTATCTCCCAGAACGAACTGAGACTATTAACAAAGCCTTGTTCATGGAAGATTCCCAGCCTGATTTCTCTTGTTAGGGTCTTTCTTTGAGCTTATCGTAATAAACACTAACTTCTATAAAATTAATTCATCACAGTATTAATTTTCACCAAGCACCAAACCAGAACTTTCATAGGACAATCTAGAATTCAAAGTCTTAAGTCCCTTGAAATAGTCCTAAGTATATTGATTGACTTTAGCCTTTAAGTATACAAGATAAATTTTCTAAGATAACTTCTTAGAATATAGAAGTATATTAACTAGAAATATTTTCCTGTAACTTTCCTTTTCTTATAATGTCTTTGTCAGGTTTTGATATTGGTGTGATGCTGACTTTATAAAATGAGCTGGAAAATGTTCTTTTCTTCTCTATTTTGTGCAAATATTTGGGTGATATTGGTCTTATTTCTTTCTTAAATGTTTGCTGAAATTCACCTGCACAACTGGGTTTGGAATGTCTTTCTGGGAAATGTTTTGTTAATTTCAATTAAATGTTTTGAAAAATATGGGGCTATTCAGATCTATTTCTGATAGTGTCAGTTTCAGTAGTGTTTTTCAAGGGATAAGTCCATTGTATTTAGATAGTCATAATTATTTTTATAAGGTTGTTCTGATAATCTGTCATTCATAATGTAATTCTCTGACAACTGCAAAATCAAAAGTGATATTTTCTCTTTTAATCTTGAGATTGGTAATGTACATTTTTATAGCCCTTTTCTAAGCACTATTTCTTGGGATTATTCATTTTAATAGCCTTTTGAAAGGTTTCCTTTAGTATTCCTTTTAGTGCAGTCTTGTAGGTGACACATTCCTTAAATTTTGGGGTAGCAGAATATATCTGCATATAGAATTCTGGATTGAGAAATTTTGGCTTTATTGATTTTTCTCTTTAATTTCTATTTCATTGATTTCTGTTCTTTGTTATTTGTTTTCTTCTATATGTTTTGGGTTAACTTTGCTCTCCTTTATTTAGCTTGCTAATGTGACAATTTAGCAAGTTAAATAAAGGAGAGCAAATTTAAAACTCTCCCTCAGTAATTTACACGGAGAGAGTTTTGCCATTACTTTTAATGCCAAAAACTGCAAGTACTTATGCACCAACTTATCATTTGTGCAAACTTTTCCTTTTTTCTAATACAAGCATTAAAACATACAGCTCTCCCTCTAAGCATTAGTATAACTATATCTCACAAACTTTGATCTTGCCTTTTCTTTATTATTCAGTGTGAAATTAATAATCCTGTGATTTCTCCTTTTACCTGTGAGTTATTTAAAATTGTCTGGTCTAACATTGTATTGCATTGGTAGCTTTCTAGAAATCTTTTTTGTTGTTGTTGATTTCTATTTAAATTCTGTAGAAGTCAGAGAACATGCTTTGTAAGATTATAATATTTGAGAATTATTAAAACTTATTTTATGGCCCAACATATAATCTGTCATGGTAACCATTTCACAAAGAAATATATGTATATTCGGCTGTAATTGGTTATGATGTTGTATAAATGTCAATTAGGTCAAGTTGGTTGACTGCATTGTTTGACTTTTACTATCATTTATATACCCTTACTGATTTTTTGTCTATAAATTACTTTTTCTTGATATTACTGACAGAGAGTTTTTAAATCTCCACTTACGATTATAGATTGGCCTATTTTACCCTTCTTTCATTTTTTCATATATTTAAAATACTATTTTTAGTTGCACGAACATTTATGATTGTTGTGGCTTTTTGATAAATCAGTCATTTGATCATTATGAACTGTTCCCTTTATCACTAGTAATGCAACTTCTCTTGATGTCTACTTGGTCTGAAAGTCATGTAACCACCTCATCTTCTTCATGCTTAGTGTGCACATTACATTTCTTCTTTCCTCTTACTGTCACTCTGTCTGTTTCTGTACATTTAAAGTGCTTTTTTAAAGCACTTTAAAAAGTACTTGGTTGGTCTGGTTATTCAGTCTGATAATATCACTCTTTTAGTTGAAAATTTTAGTTTATTTACTTCTAATGTAATTAGTAATACAAATATATCTAGGATATATGATGTGTAGATCTCTGTACATCATATATCCCAAACTCTCTGAAAGTACTTTAGGCTTGCCTTAGATATATTTGTAGAGATATTTGACCATATATATATATATATATATATATATATATACACACACACACATTTATAGATATTTGACACTCTTTCTCTCTCTCTATATATATATATTTACACATATATACAAATATATCTAAGCCCAAAATGCTTTCAGAGAGTTTTATATCTTGTGGCAGCTACTACAGCTATACAGCCTTGCTCTCAAATAAATATACAAATATATCTACATATATCTCTATATATATATCGGATATCTAATTTTTTCTTTAGTTTTTAATTTACACATGATAATTTCATATATTTATGGGGCTTGGCATGACGTTTTAATACATGTACACATTGTATAATAATCAAATCAGAATATTTCATCTCATATGTTAATCATCTCATATTTATTATTTCTTAATGGTTAGAACATTCAAAATTCTCCCTCCTAGCTATTTTGACATATACAATACAATACTATGAAGCATACTCACCCTACTGTGCAGTGGAGATCAGAACTTATTCCTCCTATTAGGTTGCTTCAAAAGTTATTGTGGTTTTTGCCATGACTTTGATTACAAAGACTGCAATTACTTTTGCACCTACCTAAATATAACTTTGTATTCACTGACTGGCCTTTCCCCATCTCCCCTTCTCTACTTCTTTCCCCAGTCTCTAGTAACCACTATTAAGCTCTCTACTTACTGAGATCTACTCTTTTAGATTCCACATATGAGTGAGATTATGTGGTATTTTTCTTGCTGTGCCTGGTTTTGACAGACTGACTTCATTTCCTTTTGATGTATACCCAATAGTGGGATTGATGGGTCATATGGACATTCTACTTTTAAATTTTTGAGGAACCTCCATACTGTTTTCCTTTATGGATGTATTAATTTACATTCCCACCAACAGTGTATAAGAGTTTCCATTTTTCCATATCCATGGCATCATTTGTTATTTTTTGTCTTTTTGATAGCAGTCATTCTAATTGGTATGAGATAATATATCATTGTAGTTTTGATTTGAATTTCTCTGATGGTTAGTGATTGCATTAGTCCATTCTCATGTTGGGGAGGCCTCACAATCATGGCAGAAGGCAAAAGGAGAAGCAAGGGCCCATCTTACATGGCGGCAGGCAAGACAGCATGTGCTGGGAACTGCCTTTTATAAAACCATCAGAGCTTGTGAGACTTATTCACTATCATGAGAACAGCATGGGAAAACTCACCCCCATGATTCAAATACCTCACACTGGATCCCTCCCATGACACTTGGGGATTATAGGAACTATAATTCAAGATGAGATTTGGGTGGGGACACAACAAAACCGTATTGATGATGTTGAGCACTTTTCATATACCCACCTGTTGGTCATTTGTATGTCTTCATTTGAAAAACATCTATTCAAATCTTTTGCCCGTTTTAAAATTGGATTATTTGTTTTTTGCTATTGAGTTATCCATCTATCTGTTGTTGTCAATACTTTCAGCAGTAGACAGATTATTTGGTTTCAGTTACAAGATGGCATGTGCAGCAGCAGCTTGGGTCACAAAGGGGAGGGGGCACAACATGGGCTCCTTCTCCTGGCCAATGCAGCCATGCAAGCTCCTGGAAGCTCCCCAAACTGGGCTCAAGTTCCTTGAGGACTGCCGTATTTTAAAGCAGCAAAGACTGAAGATGTCCACAGCATTAATGGGGGCTGCTGGATGCTGCCTGCTTACCTTTATTTCCAGAGTGTAAAGTGCCTCCTATTCTGTGCTGATCCTGACAGAGATGGGCAGCAGTGGCTCAGTGTTTCACTGCTTTCTGTATGAGGCCATCCTGAGTCTCCACATTTCACGAGGTATTAACCACTCCCTTGTTGTACTTCAGTGCTTTACTTCAAATGCTCTTGTAGAAATGTAGTTTTTTATTGGTTCTTTTGGTCTTTTCTTTGGAGGGTTGGGGATTGGATAAGTATTAGGTACTGCTACTCATTCATTTTGCTGATGTCCTCTGATATTTAAATTGTTGTTTTATTTGTAAGTAGTTAGTAAGGAGGAAAAAAAATGCATAGGATATCTTGAATTACCTCCAAGGTTTTACCTTTTATCAGTATAAAACAAAAGTCCTAATGGCTATGTTGATGCTACCAACTTGAATCTACTGTGGTAGTAAGGGATACTAGGTTGCTCACATTTACATGGATCAACCAGGACACACTTTTGAGGCTGAGGGTTAACCCTCTTTCCTTGAAACATATATACTTCATGAATGAGAAGTGATACCTGGAAGGAGAGTTGGAGTATTAACAGAAGTAAGGGGATGGATGTTGGCGTGTTAATCATTTCTAGCATAATGTACCACAGGTCATTGTATCTTCACACATTAAAGACATGACAAAGAGGAACTGCGCTCTCAATGCTGGATTTGAGGAAACAAGGACATTGTTACTTCATGCATTAAAAACAAACATAACGGTATTTAATAATAAAATGACAGTTAGTAAATAGAATGCTTTACTAATAAGACAATAATAAATAGAATGCTTTACTAATAAAGCATTAGGTTGATCTGTATAAATGCCCATTTATAAGCACTATAATTTACAGAAGATAGACGTTAATTAAAGCTACATTGTTATAGATTGTTATATGTGTTCCCGAATTCTTTCTTTTTCTTTTTGACAGAGTCTTGCTCTGTCACCCAGGCTGGAGTGCAGTGGTGCAATCTCTGCTCACTGCAACCTCCACCTCCCAGGTTCAAGCAATTCTCCTGCCTCAGCCGCCTGAGTAGCTGGGATTACAGGTGCATGCCACCACACCTGGCTAATTTTTGCATTTTTAGTAGAGACAGGGTTTTGCCATGTTGGCCAGGCTGGTCTCAAACTCCTGACCTCAAGTGATCTGCCCGCCTTGGCCTCTCTCAAAGTGCTGGGATTACAGGCTTGAGCCACCATGCCTGGCCGGTGTTCCTGAATTCTTGCAAACAAGGTTAATGTTTATGTTATTACATAGACAACACAATGACATTTATGTTCTTCCCATTGGGTAAATCCATTGTCAGCTTTTTAACCTCTTCAGAAAATTACTATTCTGACCAAAACTGTAAAGTCTACTTCCAAAGTAGGGGTAGAACACAGACGCAATAGGTCAGAAAAAGACAAAAATAAATAATAAATAAATAAGCACAGAACATTGAGGTAGGAGTTGAAAATGTGCAGCATGAAGCAGAAACATGGAAATCATTCCTCTGGCATTAAGCAAAGCAGGCAGCCAACAAATTACAGACCATTCTGGAGGAAAAGCAAAACTTTCTGAGAAACGCCATGATGATGTATAAACTTTGAATGTACTCATTAACAAAGATTGAGAATTTTATGTAAATAGAATGACTGTGACCTGGAAAACTGCACACTCTCACGACAAGAACAAACTTGCATAGAATAGTCATGGTTTTGGGGCCCCCAGATTATTAAATATTATCGACCGTTGCTTTAACAAACGTAATTCATTCCCAATGCGCTACTCGTTAAAATTGAGCTGCTAAATCTTTACAAGTTTTTAAAAGCAAATTTGTTATGGCAAGATTATTCATGGATATATGTGTGCATAAATTTAATCACTTCCAAAAATCATTCCAATAAAGAATTTATTGAACACCTATGAGTACACATCTCATAAGCAGGCTTAGGAGAGCCAATTGCAGTACCCAAAGGAACAACTCCATTGCTAATATCTTACAAATAGCTACTAAATTCATTGAGGTTAACAGCTACCCAGAAGTGTATAGATATTAATTCACCGTATTTCTTTGCTTAAGACAAATTACTCCAAAGCACTTATATTTTTGACTGTCTACTTCTACCATATTCTAAACATTTTCATTTTCTAGCACCTATAGGAAACTAAAGATCTGTAAGATACTCTCTATTATGCCAAGAAGCAGTGCAGTTATGTTGATGGGCTCTAGAGAACCTGCTGCAGCTCCTTTTAGCAGCTGAAACTACTCACTCCATCTCCCACCCCAGCCTCCTCCAGGTATCTGTGGTCTTCCTGTGGGAGTATCATAGAGGTCTTTGTTTATAAATCATTGGGTGTCATTTATTTAAATATTTAGATCTGCTTAACTTTGGGGAAAAATCTCCAATGACCCTAACTCCCTACTACACATTTAACATAATTTAAAATCTATTCTCAATAATTCTTTGTTAGAATTCAGCAAAATCTATCTGAATTCTCTAGCTGGTGTCCTATAAGGCTCAGCTGCCTTAACCTCCATAGTGTATGACCATCTGAAAGGCAATTCATGGGCTTCTGTTTCCTCATTTGAAACATAAAAATAATTTTACTACATATCTTACAAGGCTGTTTTGCAGTTCAAAGAAATTAACTCATAAAACATTCAGAACATTACCAGTTGTGTAATAAGTGCTCAACAAGGACTGGTAATGTGGTCACATTATTTATCTTGCAAATAGAAATAACTTTGGGAATAGAAGGGTATTACCAATATTACACAAGGACAAAAGGTATGAACTGGAACTGCTTAGAGCAAATGAAGATGTATGGTTAACTAATAGCTATTATTAGCTAAGAATTCATGACTTACAATGTAGTGCTTATGATTTGGCACTCCTGATTCAACTTAGATAGATCTCATCCCCTAATACCTGTTTTGTTTTCCACTATGACACGTATACATGATAATCATTCTGACTTGCTTGCCAGTGAGCCTATAGTCCATGCCATAATGTGAAATACCATTATTAGTTGGGGCCATTAAGGTCCCAATAAGAATCTCGAGAGTATTCCATTTGAAACCCCCATCTTTATAGATTCTTGTCTCTCCTAACATTTCTTCTATGTGTAGCTGCACACAATTTCATTCTAACCCACACACCCATGTGTGGACCTACAGCCATTGTAAGTGACTGAGTATTCGACGCCCATTGGTATCATGGCTAATTCCAATAGACAGTGAAATAAAAGAGGTAGGAGCCAGAATAACTTCTTCTGATTACAACACTTTGGGCATAGTCTACAATAGATTAAACTCTGAAAACTCAAATTTATTCCTCTTTTCCAACCTCCTCTTTCAACTCCAGCACAATGCAGATGGCTCAAGCTCTTCCTTGGTCACAGATTTTCTACAGTTTTCTTACTATAGCATCTATACTAACTCTATTCCCACATTTTTAACAGTGCCTATTTTTACATATTTTAAGCTGGCTATTCCTTCAACTCTGCCATCTTGCATTGTCTAAATTGAGAATGCCTTATCCTAGACCCCAAACCTAAAGAATACCAGAATTGTTTCTACAGTGGGAAACTTCAGACAAGCGATCACTGAGGCTTGGAGTAATTACAGAGGTCTCTAAGGCTGGGCAAACTTTGAACATGTTGAGGTAAAAGAGAGTGCATTTCTAAGGAAACCATGTCTAGCAGTACTAATAATAGCACACAGTGTACCCAGTGGAGAATAGACTGATAGGAATAAATGTTTATCCGGGGCTGGGCGCAGTGGCTCACGCCTGTAATCCCAGTACTTTGGGAGGCCGAGGCAGGCAGATTATGAAGTCAGGAGTTTGAGATCAGCCTGGCCAACATGGTGAAACCCTGTCTCCACTAAAAATACAAAAAATTAGCCGGGTGTGGTGGGATGTGCCTGTAATCCCAGCTACTCGGGAGGCTGAGGCAGGAGAATCGCTTGAACCCAGGAGGCGGAGGTTGCAGTGAGCCGAGATCATGCCATTGCACTCCAGCCTGGGCAACAATAGCAAAATTCCATCTTGAAAAAAAAAAATGTTCATCTGGGTAAGGTGGAGACTCGGTATCAAGGGACTTAAAAAAAGAGAAAAGTCAGGATTTAGTGCAACCAGAACATAAAGTTTACGAGTATTTCTCTGGACAGCAACATTAAGACTGTTAGAAGAAAGTTGCAGCATTCTTTAAGTAGACAGTGACTTAAAAAAAAAAAGTCTGTTTCTTATTAGGCAATTTGTTATCTCAAATCTTGAATTGAGGGCATTTAAAATAATTATTCATTTGTGCGTTTTCTCATAATCTACTTCCTATTTGCTTTAGGCCAATTATTTTCGGGCTATCCTTAGTGCTTATTTTCATGTGTCCTATAAATGTGTATAACATGCACTCTGTCCTTAGTATTCTCAGCACTGAGCATTCATGTCAGGGAGGAATGATAGAAAACAAAGATGTTAATTTTGTAAGTTAAATGTAGCTATTTCTTCAATATTCAATTTAGAGAGAGAATTTTATACAAAAGCACTGATTGAATATCCATCTGGTAAGTCTTTAGCATTGGTATCTAATTTCTTTCCACGGCATGTGTAGCTGCTGAGACACCTCGGGGACTGTTTGTATAACATCGTTGCTGCAGGCCATGGAAAATTCTGTGCGCTGCTTTCCATACATGTTTGGTTACAGCTGGATCTGGTTTGTGTGTTTTGGGGTTTTCCAATGCAATTACTGCCTCCTTCATGTATACCAAATGGATCTGCCTCTTTCCGTTTCAACTGAAGGCTTTTAAACCGGGCTTGGAAATGTGAATACACTGATTAAAAAATAAAAATGCCCAGACAGACTGAGGGAAATGCAGAAAGACCCAGAGAGAATCCCATTGTAACGTTTTCCTAAGGAAGAACTACCAGAAGAATTAAGAAAGAGAACAAAAAGAAAAAGCAAAAGAAGAAAAAGATGTTCTTTCTGTTCCACGTTCAAGGTTCTCTTAGAATCCGTTGTGAGTGTGTGTATTTTTGTTTCAAGTGTTTCATTGGAGGGAATAATTATTTCCCTTTTCTGTGGAAAGAATTCTCTCACCAGGAGCAGGATGCATTCTGCCTGGCCCTGACAGATCCATCCTATTTCTACTAGATCAATGTGGGCCTAGTCTTGCATTCGCTGTGGCTTTTGTTCGATCTCAGTAATTCTCAGATTGACTCCCCACAAATGCAGTGAGGAGGAGCCAATTATCCCACACAGCCACTGACTTGTTATTGCCATACACAATTATTGAAGAGGTGTGCAGCATAAACCCCAGGAATGGCATCCAGAAGGAATGGCTTTTTCCATCATCACAGTCTCAATAAAGTCAGATATTGCTCTATCAACTGGCTTTTTAAATGAAAGTTTGCATCATTTTACTGAAAATATGAACAAAATGCATGGGCACTGACAGAGAAAGGCTGTGCCTTCCATGTATGCCAGCAAGACAATTCGTATTTTAACTCTAGTTTCCTTTATGCTGCTGATATCGCTGACAGCAAGTGAAATAATACTCAGATGCACTGGCCCTTTCGATGCTGTTGAAATGACACCTGCAAACATGATGATGGATTTGTGCTTGGGACTCCTTCGGCGCTGTTTTCTGACATACATGCATTTAGCACAAGAGAATGCTAAATAGTTATGCATTAACAGTATGGTTAATATCACAGTGATAGCCTATCTTTCAGTTAGTAATATGATAACTATATAACAGGCATTTAACTCACTCACTTATGGATTCTTAATTACATGTATCAATTGAACATAAAAATAGAAAAAAATTCTTTGAAATGAAAGAAGAAAAATCCACTGCCAAGAATTGTAAAGCATTTCTTCTGGATCCATTTATTCAAAACAAAGTTGAATTGAGGTATGGGCTATGACTCTTCTCATGGGAAGGCCTTGTGGACCAGGGAAGCACAGAAAGGGAAATCTGGCAGAAGGCTCCAAGTATTTCTGAACAATGATATTTGAAGGATTGAGGGCGGTGTGTGTGCCTGTGTGAATGATGTTTGGGGAAGCATTAGGGTTGGGGAACATGAGGAAGTAAGAATTCTGGAGGACATCTGAATTCCACTAGGGGCTCTGGAAAGTAATTCTGGTTCTGGGTACATCAGGTCTGGAGGTCACAGAGGCACTTATCACCTGTTTACAGCTGGTTTGGCTCTTTATTCTGGGCAAACAGAGGCTCTATCAGGGCTGGCTATAGATGAAGAAAGCAATGCCAGGCCAAAAAAGTAAAAATAAAAATAAAAAAGAAAGACACTGTGCCAGTATAGAAATGTTTTAATACAAGAAAAGAAAAAAAAAAGCAAAAACACATCACTACATTTGCCTTTCACGAGGCTCTCTCCCATCCCTCCCTACTTCTCTAACTTGCTCAATCGCTGACCAAGTAAAGGAAATACTGTGTTAATTCTAAACTTCACACTTCTTACATCATCTGGGCCTGATTTAGGAAATGACTCCCACAGGCCTTATGCAAAACCTGGCTCAAAACATAGTAAGAAAATGAAATAATTGTTTTAAGTTGACTAAATACCTAATTCTATGCAGCAAAGAGCTTCTGCAATTAACAAATATTTAGGTATCTAGTGGAATCCACTAATACTTTTCAGAACCTTAAAGTTACACATCATTTACATACTTTCTCAAAAAATAAATTTCAGATAGGTTGAGACATTAAGTACAGAAAAAGAAACAATAAAAAAGCAGAGAGAAAATATAAATTAATATTTAATTTGTGGAAGAAAACAATTCTTTGTAAATATATAATTGAAGAGATAGACCAATTGAAAAAATATTGATAGATATTACTATTTAATTATAAATGCCAAAAAGTGTCACAATATCTTTCTTCAAACTGGGGAATATTTACAACATTTCTAATTAAAAACAAATTGATTCCCTCAATATGTAAAGAACATGCCCAAGTTCAAAAACAGAAAGCGCATGAAAGAAAAAATACAAATGACCTGTACGCCCCCCACACACACATTTCTCCTAACCTTTACTTAAGGAGACAAAAATCAGAAGAAAAATCCAATATGTCATCCTTTAGAGTAGCAAAGATATTTCACAAAGTACAACAGAGTCGGGCAGAGTGGCAAAGGAGCACCTGTGACAGTTGCCTTTGGTGCCATCTTTATGGGGAGCAATTTGGTCATATTGTGGAGGGCATTACAAATGTGTATGTCTAATCAGACATGAGCACCAAGAATTCTGTAGCTGGACTTTATCAAGGTATTGTTGATAATAAGAAAAATTATACCAAACGGCAGAGGCTAGAAAATTGTTTGAAATGGTCAAAAATCCATACACAGTATTGTGCCATTATGAAGATCATTTAAAAAATAATTTTTAATTGAAATTATGATCATAATAAGAAATGGGAAAATCAGAATAAAAGCATCATATGCTATTTAGCCCCAATTTTTAAAAGAGGAAGAATGTCAGCACTAGCACTGCATGAACCTTGGACAGAAACAGAGTGGTAGCATATATGAACAATGATGTCCTTGAGGATTATTCCTTTGATAATAGACATACTTGCTGACCTACTCCCTCCTTATCTTTATCCAAACCTGATTTTATTTTTTCACAGGTGCTTACAGCCTTTATAACTCTGCTGCCCAGTGCACCAATATGGTAGCCACTAGCCACAGGTGGCTACTGAGCATTTGAAATGTGGCTATTGGAAATGAGATGTGCTATAAATATACGCCAATTTCAAAGACATAGTATAAAAAGTCAAAGTGTCTCTCTAAAAATTTTTAATATTGACTATATTAAAATGACATTTCACATAATGGGTAAAATAAAATATATTATTAAAATTAACTTCACCTATTTCTCTTTTTTCTTTGTTTCAATGTGGCTACCAGAAAATTTAAAAATACTTACGTGGCTTACACTGTATTTCTAGTGGACAGCCTTATTATAGAATATGGCGATGCCTTCTGCTAACATTCGCCCTCTGTCCTGTACCGCCCCCAAAACTTTGGCATTCTTTATTACAGTAGCTTTGTTTTCAGGGCTGGTTCTACAGCTTAGAAGATGGACATAAGGGGTTGAGCAGGCAGGAATTTTAAAATTAAAACTGCTTTTGAGGAGTTGTTATCCCTGACCTTACTAATAGGAAATGTTGCTTCATGAGGTTGCTCAAGAGTATGCCAAATAGAAAATTCTGTAACAGAGGAATAGTACTACTCACACCTCTATAAGAGTAATCTCTGCTAGGTTATTTTACTAGTTTTTACTCTTTAATGTATAACTTGTCTGAGGCTAAGCAAGTAATAATGTCTCTGGGGCTCAGTTATTTTTCAACTCTAGGAGGAATAAAAAAATTCCTCATCTGTAAAACAAAACAATAAAGTTTTAAAATGATAAAGTTGTGAAATTGAGTAAATAATGCAAATGTTTAAAGAATAACAAGTACATAGTTAAAAAGTTAATATATGCCACCTATTAAACTTTGTTAAATATACAAATACATGTAGGGAAAAAAGTGAAAAGAATCTGATAGTTTAAGAATATGTTTATCTTATTAGAGAGGTAGCTTAAAAGAGCAGTTAATACTGCAGGCCAGGGAATAGGACTCGCTGGCTCCGAAACTTACTCTGGCTTTCAGTAGCTTTCATCTTGTACAAGTCACATAAAGTCTCTGTGTATAGTTTCCTCTTCTGTACCATGGAGCAATGTAACTCACAAGGGAGTTGGAAAAATGAAGTGAATAAATGCATTTAAAATGCTAAGACAGTGCTCTGCTCAGTTAAATGGTTTAATCATTGTTACCTATTATTCTTACCTTGATGGGGAAAGTTGTCAACAAATTCCCATACCTTAAACAAACATAAATCAGAAAACATTAGCAAATATCATATACTGTATTCCACAAGTAAAATTCTTCGTGTGGGTTAATGATCCTCATGGTATTTCTGAAGGCAGGAAGATCAGTAGCCTAGAGCAGTGCCTCTCATGCTTTACAATGTGCAGATACATGACCTCAGACCTTATTAAGATGCAGACTCTGATTCAATAGGTCTGTGGTGCAGTGTGATTGAGATTCTACATATTTAATAAGCTCCCAATTGATGCCAGTGCTGCTGGGTCTCCCACCACAGAGTACCAAGGGCTAAGGCAATATTGTCTACTTTGACAGCAGGAGTAATTAAGGTGCAAGATATAGAATAAGTATCAGCACAAGTGTGCGAAACAACAATCCTTTCTGTTTCTTGCATTGACTGCTTGCATAAGGATAGATTAACTTCTTTCTCCTTTAATTGAATTCATCTCGTTAAGTTAGACAGGGGTCAGACAACATCCCATTATAAAGATTATGATTCTGTAGCACAATTTATGACATTTGCTCCGAGTTTCATGACAAATACTTTGTAAAGAATAAACAGGCTTTTCAAAATGCAGTTTTCTAGAATAAACCATTGTTTTAACACTATGCTTTGAATGGTCCCTTTTTCACTGAGGATTTTGTGGACATCAGTTATTCAGTGAAGAAAATGCCCTTTTAATGTTAGTGTGCGAAGAATTCTAATGATGAAAGAGTGTTGAATTATATCAGATGCTTTTCCTGCATCTGTGGGTTTTCTCCTTTAATCTTTTAATATGAAGGCTTGCCGTATTTATAGTTTTCTAATCCTAAGGCCTTGCATTCTTTGGGAAAACTAGACTTGGTCACAACATTATGTACCACTGGATTCAGCTTACCAGTGTTTTGCTTGGCCTGCAATGTACTTTTTTTGGTTTTTATATCAAGATTACTAAATCCTTGTAGAATTATGTGAATGTATTCCCACTATTAATCCCATTCCCTGGAGAAGTTTGTACAGGAGTACTTTTCCCGACACAGGGATTTCTTCAATGCTTTAGAATAGTCTGAAGTTCGAAAGTTCACAGATTTTTTTTTTTTTTAAGACAGAGTTTCACTTTTTGCCCAGGCTGGAGTGCAGTGGCACGATCTTGGCTCACCTGCAACCTCCACCTCCTGGGTTGAAGTGATTCTCCTGCCTCAGCCTCCCGAATAGCTGGGATTACAGGCATGTGCCACCATCCTTTGCTAATTTTTTGTATTTTTAGTAGAGACGGAGTTTCGCCATGTTGCCCAGGCTGGTGTCAAACTCCTGACCTCAAGTGATCCACCCACCTTCACCTCCCAAAGTGCTGGGATTACATGGCCACCAAGCCTGGCCATGAAGTTCACGGATTTTTGCACATTTTTCCACTTTTACAAAATTTGCATTTCTGATAACTTTCAGCTGCTACTGTCTGTCAGGTACAATGAAACTTTATGCCAGGGGTATGCATTATCTCATGAACAGTGAACACATGAATGACTATTTAGATAAATATGCAGTTTGTATCATGTATAGTAAATTATAATCATACAGACTTTTAGTTCACAGTTTTGCACTAATTTACTATTTGAAAATACATGAATCTTTGACCTGTGCCCTGGGGATGTTAAATGTCCACTTTCTGTCTCAATCATATGATAGAAACCATAACAGATGCAGAATCTTTGCATCCAAAAGATCAGGAAGTCAGTTGCTGAAGGGAGAAACACCCCATGTTCCTTGGGCCTTCAAGTAATTTGCCATTACTTATTAACTTGGCCATGTTACACAGACTTAATGCTTTTTAATTATCTCTTTTCATCCTCACAATAAGAAAGAAACTACTTTTATTCCCATTTCATGTAAAATTGAGCTTCAGAATGGTAATGTCCTAGAGTCAGAGAGGTTGAATGAAGAAGGCAGGCTTCCAACTCAGGTGGCTGACTCCAAATCCAGATACTTTTTATTATGGTGGCCTCTCTCTTGTAATTTTAGTTCCCAAAGCAGTGTAGGCAGTCTCCCATTATTCTCCAAAAAGCCCCATATTTTTATTTTGTCCCAGATTCTGGGCGAAAAGGTCATGAAATGGAAATTTTCATCAAGCCTCCCTCTTCATTCCTCATTCTCCATTTTCACTGCTCAGTTTCACTGTTCATCTTATAATTATTGTTTCTAAATCACTATATACACACAAATAAATGAATAGATTATTTATAATCAGGACTGTCAGTTTGCTCTTCATTGATTCAAGCACTTGGTTGTTCACTTAACATTTTTAACAGACAAATTCTCCAAGCTCAAATCCTAAAGTCTTTCTTCTTTTTTATACTTAAAATGTTGAAAGCTGAAAAACACATTCCTATGAAACAAATAAAACTGCAAATAAAATGACAGAAGGAGTAGCATTAACAAACTAAAATAATTTCAAGTTTATAAAACTCATTTAGTATATAAGCTTGATCAAAATGAACAAAGGTATTGGGTGTACCAAGAAAAATGGCTTTGTACACCACAAATATTTAACCTGCCTCCTCAGTAATGTGTTTTCTAATTTCAAACACCATTGCATTTGTATTCCAGCCAATTTCCATACTATAAATGTCAGTCAACATAGGCTGATTATTTCTAAGAATGATTTAAAAAGAACCTTAACAACAGTAAAAGTCATGTCCGCATTTGCATTATGCATCTGAGCCTTTGGATTGTAAATATTCCCTCTGAGCTAATATTTTAGAATTCAAGGTCATATACAGGGGATTCTTTCCTTGCTAATTAGAAAATAGATTACTCCACTTGAAATTATGTAGGTGGAAATTCTTCCCTGAGGAATCTCTCTCTTTCAGATGTGTTTGATCATGTTCAATATTTTTTTAAGTATATTTGCTTTTCCCCTCTCACCTACCAAATGTGATGCACAGAATGCTTAAGGATTTGACTTATTATTCTGACATTAGTAATAAAGTTATACTAAAAATAATGTACTAGAAGTGTTTCACCTGCATACAATTTTCCTTATTAGAGTTGCTTGTTATTTCACTTGTAAAATTTCACATCTAATGTTCCCTCTGTATATTTATAAAAAAAATACTTTGTTGCACATGAGTCTAATCACTATGTAAATTAGGTAATTATTTGGTGAATATTAACATTCTTTCTCATAGAAAATAATACATATATTTTGAATCTTCTTTCCTTGCTTTTGGGGGGAATATAGCAATTAAAATAGTTATTGAACCCTTATTTGCATGCAAATGAGGCAAGTGAAGTAGCATCTCAGGATATGCAAAAGTACATTTAATTTTCAATTTCAAATGTATTTCTTATTAGTTAGACCACATTGTTTTCAATGCAATTTTCTTTTAGTATGTTAGAATCATATATTACAGAAAGCTTTTCTGTTAACTACTTGCTTGTAGGCATGGGCTTTTAGTTTTTCTGAGTTCTTTTATATCACGAAAAAATAAATCTTTTTAAAGAGAGAAAAAGTTAACATGATGATATGATTAATAAATAGTGAGCATAAAGTAGGTATTTAATATCATATTGAATGGATGGTTTGAAAAGGTAAGAGAATTATGAGACGATATGCTGATCATAAAAATATGAACATACAACTGTATCTGAAAGAAAATAATAGATATGCCTCTGGGTAAATTATGAGAGCAAAACAAAAACCTTTCTTGTAAAGAAGAAAACTCTTATTATTGATATTTCTATAAACATGAATAATGTAAAGACAGTCAACAAGGCCTGGTGTGGCGGCCTGTAATCCCAGCACTTTGGGAGGCCGAGGCAGGTGGATCACGAGGTCAGGAGATCAAGACCATCCTGGCTAACATGGTGAAACCCTGTCTCTACTAAGAATACACAAAAATTAGCCGGGCATGGTGGCAGGCGCCTGCAGTCCCAGCTACTCGGGAAGCTGAGGCAGGAGAATGGTGTGAACCCAGGAGGCGGAGTTTGCAGTTAGCCAAGATCGTGCCACTGCACTCCAGCCTGGGTGACAGAGCAAGACTCCATCTCAAAAAAAAAAAAAAAAAAAAAAAAAAGACGGTAAACAAATATTTAGATTTCAAGTGTTGTAACCTCAGAGGAACAAGGGTATCTCTTGATATTTAAAGAAAATAGCTCTAAAAGAAACAAAAATACTACAATGTTAAGTGAGTGATGAATTGAGGAATATCATACCCTAAAGTGTAATGAATATAAACATGTGTAACATGGGTGTGATCTTTAGATCTGGCTTTCAGCGATGAGCTACTAAGGGCAAGTTCAGGTGTGTCTGTCACTCTGTAAGGTTGATGGGATCGTGTTTACAGTCACACATACATTCCGTAGTATTGATATCAGACATCAAAACTGGCTATAAAGCCTATTGGCTGGACTTAGTGAGACATGTTTCAGATGTTTTTAGTTTGAGACAAAACAATACTTCTTAACAAAAAAGTAAAATATGTTTCAAACCAGAAATAGTTTTTTGGAAATTGGATGCATGTTATTAATATGCTTAACTATCATTGTAATGGCACTTATTAAAGAGGATTAGAAATTATTTCCAATAACCTTAAGTCTTTATTATAGGCTCTCTTATCTCTATCTGCCTCTAACCACCTTTTTCTTTTTCCCTGTCATACCATTCTCTGACCTTCCTCAGTGAATCACATAGTCTTCTCTGATTTCACTACCATGGCTCTCTGTATAGCCTGAATTCTGATCGCTCCCTTGATTTCTGTGGTACCTGTGTTGATACGAGAAATTCTCTCAGTCAATCACAGCCTTGGTAAGAACCCCAATTAATATGAAGTGTGCTTACCTTCCCACTAAGGGATGAGGGCCGATTTGGACCTACGCTCTGTCTGAGGTTTTTGGAACTTTATCTGAAATATATACTTATGGTAAAAACTGAAGCGCTCTCTCTTGTTTTTGTACATTTTTGTTTGTCTTTAATCCAAGGTAATTGAAAAGAATGAGACTGGCATATTAATCAGTTTATAGATTATTCAGCATAACAAACAGGTTAATTGAATGGCTAGTCAAATGCCCAAATAAGAGCAAACCTATTTATTGAAAACATACAGGATTTTAATGTCCTAACCTCTCTAAAGAAAGTCAGGTTCTCTATTACTAGTTATTATGACCCCCCACCCCACAAGCAGATTTTCTCAGGGTTGCAACTATACAGTCTATTTGTAATCGCCATATTCATGTTTGTATGTATCTGTAGCCTGATCTGTCCCAAAGACAGAGATGGTGACTTTTTTTGCTCGCCACTGTCTTACCAGAGTCTGACATGCAGTCAATCTGGAGTAAATTAATTAATAAATTGAGGTTTAGAAACAACTAGGTTTAAGCTCAGTTCAACCACTTAATAGCTGCATGATCCTAGCCAGGTCCTATAACTACCTATGTCTGTGTCTCACTTTGCAAAATTATTATGTGGAGCAATAAAAAGTGCATGACTGAAAGCAATATACAGATGTTAGTCATCATTGTAATGACAGTGTAATAATGAACAATGTACAGGCTGTCAGGAAAGCAGTCACATGCAACTCAGTTAGTTTTGGTTTATCTGTATGTTACATATCTTCCTTCTTTTGTCACAATGAATTTTAAGCAGAACCAACAGTCACTGAACACATACCATGCATATATGCCCTGAATTGACCACCAGAATGTTAGAAGAAAAGGTCAAGTCAGTGACAACGCAACCACATTTACTTCTTTGCTATTGCATGATAAGACGCTGTTTTAAAGAAAGATAACACATTGATACAACTAGTGTGGCTGGTACAGATAAAGTTTCATCTCCTACATGGAATATTGCCCCAGATTCCACTCTGTAAATCTACAATTGATGATACCTGATTATTGTGGAAGGACCATGGGCATGTTGTGGCAGGTGCTTGTTAGAAATGGTCTCTGCCTGGAAGCAGAATTCCAAAACTGAGATCCTGGAGGGAGGGTGTTCAGTGCAGGAAAATAAGGTCTATGAAAATTGAAGGTAATGAAAATCTTTTGAGACTGCTGTTGGGCCTTTCCCCAAAACTTCAGAGATTACCAGTATAATAAATATGTGTGGAAAGCTCAGGTATAAGAAATAAAGGCCTAACAAGGGGCAAACAGAGAATGGGGATGAAATGAGAATGTTTCCTGAAACAATAAATGAGATCATAACAAATATGATCAGAAATATTTTGGACTGAATTATGTCTCTTCAAAATGTATATGTTGAAGCCCTATGCACAATACTTCATACGTGACTGTATTTGTAGATGGGACCTTTAGCGCGGTAATTAAGATGAAATGATGTTCTAGGGGTAGAGCCCTGATCTGATGGGATTGGTGTGTTTAGGAGAAAAAAAAAGTGAGTGGTCTCTCTTTCTCTCTCCACCCATTGACAGAGAAGAAACCATATGTGCAAGAAGACACCAAAAAAAGCAGCCCTGATGGCACTTTGATCTTAGACTTCTAGCCTGCAGAACTGTGAAAAAAATAAATTTCTATTGTTGAAGTCAGTCAGGCTGTAATATTTTGTTATGGCAGCCTGTGATGTTATGATATATGTATACGTATTGGTTTTCATCCACGGTTCCTGGTTCATAACTCCCATAGCCCTTGGTTAGTCTTTTGTTATAATCTTAGGTCCTTTAGGTTTCAGGAGCAAGTCTGAGAAAACAGAATCTCTCTGCCCTTTTCCTGCCATCCTTTCATCTGTGCCAAGGCAGGATTTTAATCTTCCCCTGCCTTTCTGATTATGGGTCTTAAGACCCTCCCCAGAGAGGGTCCTGCTCTTTACCCTGGAGGAAGGAATGCTGACATGCTGAAGTTTCCATAAAAACCCAAGAGGGGCTGGGCGCAGTGGCTCACGCCTGTAATCCCAGCACTTTGGGAGGCCAAGGTGGGCGGATCACAAGGTCAGGAGATCGAGACTATCCTGGCTAACACGGTGAAACCCCGTCTCTACTAAAAATACAAAAATTAGCCGGGCGTGCTGGCAGGCGCCTGTAGTCCCAGCTACTCAGGAGGCTGAGGCAGGAGAATGGCGTGAACCCCGGAGATGGAGCTTGCACTGAGCAGAGATCACGCCACTGCACTCCAGCCTGGGCGACAGAGTGAGACTCGGTCTCACGAAAAAACAAACAAACAAACAAACAAAAAACCCAAGAGGACTGGGTTCCAGGAGCTTCCTGATAGCTGAACATGTGGAGGTTCCAGTAGGGTGGTGCACCCAGGGAGGGCATGGAAGCTTCAGGTCCCTTCCCCCATACCTCACCCTATTCATCTCTTTATCTGTATCCTTTGCAACATCCCTTAGAATAAACCAGTGAATGTAACTCAGTGATCCCCTGAGTTCTGTGAGCCCCTCTGGCAAATTAATTGAACCCAAAAAGGGGATCGTGGGACCCACCACTTGAAACCAGTTGTTCAGAAGTCCCAGAGGCTCAGACTTGTCACTGGTGTGCATGGTGAGAGGGCAGTCTTGGGGACTGAGCCCTCAGCCTGTGGAATCTGACACTCTCTCTAGGTAGATGGTGTTGGAATTGAATTGGAGGATACCCAGCTGGTGTCATGCTGCGTGTTGGTGGAGAGAAGAGAAACTCCTACACATTTGGTCACAGAAGTCTTCTGTGTCGATGGTTGTGGTGTGAGAACAGGGGAGAAACAGGATTTGAGAGTTTTTCCTGAAACACGCCCTTGGCTGACAAACATAGGAAAGTACAATTTAATTTTTCCAAGTTTAAAGAAGAAAAACTCAGGTTTCTGGATAACTCACTAAGCACTGATGGTCTCTGACTTACTATGCTTCAACTCAGAAGATTTCAACTTTAAAATGGTGCAAAAGCAATACACATTTAGTAGAAAATGTACTCTGATTTTTGAAATCCGATTGTTTTCCCAGGCTAGTGACATGCCACAGATATTTTCTCCAGATGCTGGGCAGTGGCAGCAAGCAGCAGCTCCCGGTCAGCCACAGGATCATGAGAGTAAACACCCCTTACCCTACAATCCACTGTGATGCCATATGATTTTACCCAACCGTAAGCTAAAGTAAGTGTCTGAGTACATTTAAGGTGGGCTAAGCTAAGCTATGATGTTCAGTAGGTTGGGTGTTTAATAACCCATTTGTCACTTAGAATATTTTCAATTTATGATGGGTTTATTGGGAAGTCACTCCATCATAATTCAAGGAGCATCTATTGCTAGATGAAGGTAGGTATATGAGGTAATATATTTCAAATCATTTTAACAGTGAAAAGAAATACAATATTAGAGTAAATGAGATTTTAAAAAATATTGAGCAAAACAGTTTCCTCTGTTTTCCGGTGCTTTTCCCTGATCTTACATACAGCTCAACTTTTTCACAAAGGCCTTAGTATAAATCCCCAGATGCACTGAATTGGGAGCCCACAGATCACAGTTCTAGTTTAGGCTATGACACAGTCTTAAAGATCATGGTCATATTATCTACCTTTCCGGATCTCAGATTCCTCCTGAGAGTAGTTCAGTTTCCTCCTTCTGAGAGTAGTTGGATTAGACTAACATGACCGTCGTGCAAATGAATTTTATGCCAACTACAACAACAGAAGTCCATGGTGAAATATATTACAAATATTGCAACACTTCTTCTCAGAGCATTTTAAATGTTAAACCTGTAAGAAGGCCCAGTATTTCTCAAGTGTGCTTTTACCATACATCCCTGAAAAGACACTGCCACTCACTGTCATTCACTTGGGGTCCCAAATTGTAAGATCCTTTGACCATGATATATTAGGGTCACATAAAGAGCTCTCCTCATGGTCCTTTGGCTGTTCATCCACGAAAGAAGAGGGATAACAAAGAATCTTTGAGGAGATTTACACCACAGAAAATATATTTTAAGGAAACACAATTATGCTATAGATCCTAAGGAAAGTGTATTTTAAGGAAGAGTTGGAGGATTTGACATGGAATCCTCTAACTCCATACACTACTCTTTCATTCTCAGTAAAATTTTCCATTAGCCACTAGAACAATCCCTATTTCAATTAATTGGTTTCACTCTTCTCTTATAAACATAGGTGTGTCTCAGTCCTATTGGCCTACTTTAACAAAACACTATAGACCGGGTGGCTTATAAGTAACAGAAATTTCTTTCTCACTGTTGTGGAGGCTGGGAAGTTCAAAACCAAGGTGCCATCATATTTGGTGTCTGATGAGGGCCTGTTGTTTTCTAATTCATAGATTGCACTTTTTAGCTGTGTACTCACATGGTGGAAAAAGGAAAGAGAGCTCTCTGGAGTCCCTTTTATAATGGCACTAATTTCTACTCATGAGGGGTTTACCCTTATAACTTAACCACCTCCTAAAGTCCTCACCTCTTAATACCATCACTTTAGGGGCTAGGTATCAACATTAATTTTGGGGAGATACAAACATTCAGACTATAACGATGTGCTTTTTGTTTGGGGGGCTTTGTGTTTGCTTTTTAGCATGGGATAATATATGCATGCAAACAGTGAAATGTAAGGAAATGCAGGCAACAACGGGCAAGTCATTATTTATAAATCAGAATTTGTCAGAATTATCTTAAGAGACAGTTGTGGCACAGCCACAATACCCAAGCCTCATGAACTGTATTCTGCTGAGGGAATAATTACTGACTTGCATCATCATTCTCATCACGGAAGTACAGCACGTAACAGTTCCTTGCTTACGATTGGTGCTGTGTGGTATAATACAGCTTCCTTTCTTTAATCTGCCTTAAATGGTGCATAATTTACCAGGTTTTCTTATACTTCCTTTTCTTAACCTTAGTAGAAACTGCCTCAGATGGACTCATTGACCATCAATCATAAATCAGCCCTTTATTGGTGAAGAGGTGAGATGGGTTAACAATGGATTTACTTGTAAATTGAGAAGAGATAAATCTTTGTTCCCTCAAGAGTAGCAGTGTATTTATAGGTTGGGAGGCAGTATTACTTTTCAAAAAGTACTTTATAGGAAGGTAAAGTCTTCAAGACCTTGGTGTTTATGATTTCTGAAGCTTGTGTATCTGTAGAATTGTTGTAAAATACACTAATAAAATAAAATAGGATGTTGCTTTATATTTGCCTGTGTTACCACATGAAGTACTTATATAGGTAGAATAGAGGTTCTATAAAGTAAACTCATAACTAAAATTGAATTCTTTGGGGAAATCTGCCACTTTCATTTACAGGTCTATAAGCCTAGCAGATAAAAGTAACTAAGAGAAAATATTGCAAAGATATTTCATATCACCTTACAATCAAGGTCCCTGAATGATCTGTAAGCACTTCCATCCCATAAACCTGTCTGGCAATCATTGTTGACTTGAGTACGTGGAATTAATCTCCTCGTCAGCAATAACCTAAACCTACTTGCAGAATAAGATAAACCTGGGATAGACTTAGTCTTTAGCTGGGTTATGGTTATATTATTACACACTTATATTCTTGACTGCAAAATAACAGATTACTTTAGAAATTTGCTGTATTAAAAACAATTACATTTGGCATATAAAATTGTGAGAGAGATCTCAGAGCAATATTAAAATCTGAATTAGATTTTTTAAAAAACATGGAAAGTTTCTTCTAACAAGAGTCAAGCAGTTTAAACATTTTGAAAGAAATGACTGAATCAGTTTTTGGATATTCTAAGCTATTTCCATTCCATCTAAGTCAGCTTTTTGGATAATCTATGCTATTTTCATTCCATCAGAAAGCATTCAAACAAATAAAAAGGAGTTTGATAGGCTATCAAGAATTTGAAAATTAGAAAACTTGTATATATTATTTGTTCTGCACAAATATGCTGTACTGTGTCATTTATTCATGTACTACTCAGATGACGTGTTACATTAGGTGGGAGATGACCACATGATCCATGCTGCCAACTCTCTGAAATGCCGAATCCACACCTCAAACTGAAATCCTCCAGAGCTGATCTGTTCTACACCCTTCATAAACCTGCCCCACCCACAGTCTTTCCACCTCAGTTGATGGCAGCTCCATCTTTCCAGTTGCTCAGGCCAATCATCTTGAAGTTATTCTTCGCTTCACTTTTTCCCTCACGCCATATATCCAAATGTGTCACCAAATTCTGTTTACCTTTAGAATAGAACCATAATGTGCCACCACCTCATCTCTTCCCTTAACCATAATACAATAGCTTTTTCCCAGGCTTCTTGCCTTCCTCTTCCAACCCCCACCAAAAGGTAGAAAACTTCTTTCCACACAATAGTGGGAGTGATCTTTTATAAAGCCTCCGTCAGATCATGCCTCTCCTCTGCTTCAATTCCTCTAGTGACTCCCCATCTCAATCAGAAGAAGGGAGAAGCCGATGAACTGGCCCCTCTATCTCTCCGATGCCACAAGGTCTCTCCCGTCTCTGTGGTGTTCTTCTCTCCACAAGGTCTCTCCCGTCCACTGTGGTGTTCTTACTCTGTCATGTGCTCTCTGCCCTCAGGGCTGCTTCACCAGCTGCTTCCTTTCCCTCAGATATCCCATGGTTAAATCCTTCATCCTTTGCTTATAAGTTGATACTGAGAGTTTTGGTTTTTTGTTTTGTTTTGTTTTGTTTTTTTTATGGACTCTTGCTCTGTCGCCCAGGCTGGAGTGCAATGGTGTGATCTCAGCTTACTGCAATCTCAGCCTTCCGGGTTCACGCCATTCTCCTGCCTCAGCCCCCCGAGTAGCTGAGACTACCGGCACCTGCCACCATGCCGGCTAATTGTTTGTATTTTTAGTAGAGACGGGGTTTCACCGTGTTAGCCATGATGGTCTCCATCTCCTGACCTCATGATCTGCCCGCCTTGGCCTCCCAAAGTGCTGGGATTACAGGTGTGAGTCATAGTTTAAATACAATGTAACTCCTAATCCTCCTGCTTGGTCTCCCTTTCAGTGCTCTCCTTTCAAGATCTTTTTATCTTTTCAAGCACTTATCACCTTCAAACATACTCTCTTTGTTTATTTTATTTACTGATCATTATCTTTCTCTTCTCTCTGGAATGTAAGCCTTCTGAAGGCACAGATTTTTTAAAACTTTTACTTATTCTAAGTGTTTAAAACTGTACTATGTACATAGTTTAAGTATTCAATAAACTCTTATTAAATGAGGAAATGAATACTGAAAGTATATAAATGTAAGAACTGCTCAAAAAACAATTGATGTTTTTGACCATTATCTCACTGTAACCTGACTCAAAACAAAGAAACATCATATACTTATAGATATGACTAGAAACTTGGAATTTTGAAGATGTTTTCCAATATAGTTTCTCAGTAGAGTGCATAAAAATATCATGAAGATAGCTGGGTGCAGTGGCTCACACCTGTAATCCCAGCACTTTGGGAGGCTGAGGTGGGCGGATCACAAGGTCAGGAGTTCAAGACCAGCCTGGCCAATATAGGGAAACCTCGTCTCTACTGAAAATACAAAAATTAGCTGGGCGTGGTGGGGGGGCACGTGTAGTCCCAGCTACTCAGGAGGCTGAGGCAGGAGAATTGCTTGAACCTGGGAGGCAGAGGTTGCAGTGAGCCAAGATCGCACCACTGCACTCAAGCCTAGGCAACAGAGCAAGACTCCATCTCAGAGGAAAAAAAAAAAAATTATGAAGACAAAAAATTGATTCGGTCCGATAAAGACAACGAGGCCAATGAGGTTAACAGAAGTGTACACAGGTCAATGTACCTGTAGTGGTGCAACCAGGAGAGACTCCAGATCTCCTGACTCCTGGTTCTTTTATGTTTTCACTGGAGAGGTAGTAACCACAATGTGGTTATTTTGATCTGTACCTCAGATTATTTTTAGCACAAGTCTGATCTTGAGGTAGGCTTCCAATGAACACCAGATCATCTTTCTATGATAGGTGCCAGGCGAGGTGCCAGGCGAGGTGTCAGAGCCCCAGCATCGAGAAGCAGTTGAGTCACAGGTTGGTAAGAAGAATGTATTGATAACAGTACAGGATTGAAAAAGAAAAGTTTATTAGAAAGAAAGTAATGCTGCAAAAGTGCAGTGGAGAGCCTCAATGAGCGAGGACTGAGCTCGTGGAGGTGGATTTTTTTCTTAATGGTATTTATGAACCTTAAAATGGAGCTGATGGACAATTTGCATAATAAATTATTACATTTGTAGACATTTTAGTGCCATAATGTCAGCAAGAATTAAAAAATGAGTTTTGGCATGGCATTCCGGAGGTGTATAGAAATTCTGGTTACTTATAAAAGTTGAAAGAGGCCTGGAACCAGGTGCCGACTTTAGATACTAGGGAAGTTTAATTACTTCTAAAGTCTCCAGAGAGGGAGCTTTGCCTTCTGATGTCCTGTTTGATTGTCACCAGGCGGTCTTTGCTCCCTTCTAAATTCTTCATATAAGGAGTTCTTGTATCTGGGGCCTGTTTAATGGTCACCAGGTGATTTTTGCTCTCTTCAACAGCTAGCATTATATTTCATCCAACTATTCAAGTTCAAAGTCCAGCTACTCTTGTATTCCTCTTTCATTCACGTACTCTCCACCACCACCACCCACCCCCACCACACACACAAAAACATTTAATCAGTAAAGTCCCATTAGTATCTACTAAATTTCTTCTGATTTTGTTTTTCTCAAGTCTCTTTTTAATTTCTCTAATTCAGAAAACAGACATGTCTCTTCTAACTTTCTAAAAAAAACTTCTTGTTATTTTCTCCCTCCTTCCTGTTACAATAAAGGAGCTGTATATATTTTTTTCCAATTCAGGATAACTTCCTCTGTGTACAAGATGGGTTACACCACTATTTCTCAAGTACCTTTCACTACTGTATATCCTTTCTTCTTCTCAGTGTCTTTTTCTCTCAGCTGATCCTTCCCATTGGCTTTTACGCTTGTGTCAATTCTTCCTTCATTACAAGATAAAATGAAGTAAAATAAAATACGCTCCTTTTGAATCTACATCCTTTTTCATTTACTGCCATATCTTTTTTCTTGACAAAGTTGTTTTTACACTGTAACCGCATTTTATCACTTTCCATTCTTTTCTGAACCATCTCCAATCTGGCTTCTGCCCTCATCTCTCCACTAAAGCAGCTTCTGCTACTTGTCACTCACAATTTTTGCATCAAATTTGAACGAGTATTTTCTATTTTTCAACTTAGTGGATTTCTTAAAAATTTGGTTAAACATTGAAGAGATACAAAAAAATGTATAAAGGCAATTTAATACCAATGTATCCAACACACAACTTAAGAAATAAATTTCTACCATGGCATTTGAAATCCCCATTACTTCTTCCCATTTCCATTCCTTTTCAAACTTTCCTCAGATGTATTTTCAAAATATAAAATAAAATATATCAAAGCAGAAAACCTAGTAAATATTAATTTATAAAGGCTTATTTTCACTGGACAGCTATAAAGAATTTATTTTTGATGATCATTTTAAATTAATTGTATAGTATTTTTACTTTAAAACACTTTGATCAATAATATGTTCTGTATGCTTTCGAATTAAATAATAATTAGTGTTGCAAAAGCTTCAAAACATGTATTCTTAGGCTGCTACTGTGCAACAAGTATTTTATTTAAAAATCTATCAGTTAACTTTGAGTGAACCTGTTCTCAGGCCAGATGACAAAAAAAGGAGTTTCTTAATATATTAATAAGGGACCACTCTCAAGAAAACAATTTCCATTCGTCCTATTTTAAAGTACAGTTTTCCCTGATTATACTGAAATTCTGGCTTAATTTTCTTTCAAAACCATTTATATTCTATTCTGTTTGCATGTTACCAAACATCTGGGATAAAAAAATGAGAAAAAGTTTATATTTTTCCTTGAATTCAGAAAATTAACACTTTATAAATCAAATTGTCAAATAAAATGCACAGCATTTAGCAATATATTTGGTAAGTTTTGTAGAAATTGTTGCCTTGGAAAGAAATAGCAAGGCAATTGTGATGATTAATTTTATGTGTCAACTTGACTGGGCCAGAGAGTGCCCAGATATTTGTATTTGGTTAAACATTATTCTCAGTGTGTCTGTGAGGATGTTTCTGGATGAGATAAACATTTGAATCAGTAGACTGAGTAAAGCAAATTGCCTTCCTTGGTGTGGGTGGGTCTCATTCAATCCATTGAGGGCCTGAATATAATAAAATGCTGAGTAAGAAAAAATTCTCTCTGCCTGTCTTTGAGCTGGTATATTTATATTCTCCTGTCTTCAGTCTCAGACTCAGACTATAACGTGTCTCCCATATCTCAGGTCTTCTGACTTCTCCCATGTCTCAGGTCTTTCGACTTGGAGTGGAACTACCATTGGCTCTTCTGGGTCTGAATTTCTCAACCTTCATAATTGTGTAAGCCTATTCCTCACAATAAATCTTTTTATATACTTATATACAGTATATCCTATTGGCTCTGTTTGTCTGGAGAATCCTGACTAATACAACAATGCCCAGAAAAGACATGTAGTTTAATATATTAATTAGCTTTTCCTAGATTATTCTATAGTAACAGAGGTTATTTCTGTGGTAACGAAGACTTCAAAATCTTCATCATTTACAACAATAGTTTATCTATTTATTTATTTATTTAACTGCAATTCCCATCCATCATGGGTTAATAGAAGCTCTGTTCCACAAATTCTCCATTTTGAATCCTGGCACCTACCAGGTCATGCTGGTCTCATGGGAGAATAAAAAACCTATGTAGTTACTCTTTAGGCTTCTGCTAGAAAGCGATATATGTCAGGTTCATTCGCATTTCATTGACCAAAGCAAGTCATATGGCCAAGTCTGACTTCCATGTTTCAGGGAGGTATAATTCTCTCATAAGAAGGGGCAGTAAATAAGAGAAAACAATAATGAAATCTTATACACCTAACCTAATATAGAAGATTATGATTAGTGCTTCATTTGCATAAGGGGATTTGGAGTCAGTTTCTTCCTTTGAGGCTGAATCAGAGAAGTGGATTCAAATGATAGTGTGGTTTCTAATAGTTAACTCGTTATTAATAAGTAATGTTTGTTTAATGTGAGTTGGCCTTGTGCTAGTGCATTCCACTTAGTATCAGTACTTCTAATAAATATGCTTCTATTTTATAGATGAGGACACTGGGGCTTAGAAATATTAAGTCAATTGTCCAAGCAAATATAGAAAATGAATGATAGAGTTTGAGATTACACCCAGGCAACCTATTAGCAGAGGCTATTTTTTAAACTTATACGAACCTTGACAAGTCATATAAACAACAAAATAAGGGAGTTAAGATAGATAATTTTTAAATTCTAAAAACTATATTCCTGACACACTCATCATACATATTTTTTATTTTTTATTTTTTATTTCTTGAGACAGAATCTTGCTCTGTCACCCAGGCGGAGTGTGGTGGTGCAATCTCAGCTCACTGCAACCTCCTTCTCCCAGGTTCAAGTGATTCTCCTGCCTCAGCCTCCCAAGTAGCTGGGATTACAAGTGCCCGCCACCATGCCCAGCTAATTTTTGTATTTTTAGTAGAGACAGGGTTTCACCATGCTAGCCAGGCTGGTCTTGAGCTTCTGACCTCAGGTGTTCCACCTCCCAAAGTGCTGGGATTACAGGTGTGAACCACCACTCTGGCCCATAATATATAATTTTTAAGTAAATGAATTTTGAATTTATATGTTACATCTCTGATTAATTGTAAAAACAATTTTTTAAGCTAAAAATAAAATCTACTAACATGACACTATATACTCATTAAGCATATGTAAGGAAGTTTTAAAAAAAGAAAAAACATATTAAAGGAAAGCAAGAAGGTTTTGGTCAAGAAGAAAAAACAGACACTGAATTTGCATCATCTCCAAATATAACAGCAACAACTACAAAACAAATGTGCACAAAACATTATAGCACTTCAAAGATAATTAAAATGTCAAGTATCAGAGACAAGAAACGAATATGAACTCTACAATCATCCCATGAGTTCTACAAGATGCTTCCAAGCCATGGTGTAGGAAGGAGAAACTCAGATAGCACTAGGTTATCTCTCTGAATTGAGGTAAGGGAGCTGGGACTTTAGTGAGGTCAAGATGGCTTGACTTCATGGAGCAGAGTGTGGACAAGAAGGGAGATACCAGAGAAAAATTTCAGAAATCTAAAAAGAGATCTTTTTGGAATATTCAGCTGAGAACTGATTATCAAACACTTCTGAGGAAACTATGTGAACCCAGAAAAACACAAACTGAAAGGATTAGAGAGAACAGTGCCAAGCACTGCTACCGTGGAAAACCTCATAATTCAGGGGGCATTGTTCACAGTATATAGAAGGCTCTTGCCTCAGTGAAGGAACGTTAGCTTTAGGAAAATGCAGCTCTGGTTTCACTTAGCAGCCCTCAAAAACAAGACCCAAAAGATCAAACTGCTTAGAAATAACTTAAACATGTCCAAGAATAAAACTTGATAGTATTTGTAGGAATACAAAGCTATACTCGCCCAATAATGTAATATCCAAAATGTCTGACATCCAATTAAAAACTACCAGACATGTAAAAAAGAATTAAAACAAAAATCAATCAATTGAAACAAACCCAGAAACAACACAGATGGCAGAATTAGTAGACAAGGATGTGAAAACAATTATTATGACTGTATTCCACATGCTCAGGAAGATAAAGGAAAGATTAAACATATTAAGATGAGAAGAGATAAGGAAAGATGTAAAAAAAGTCACTCATTAAACTTCAGGAAATAAAAATTGCAATGTCTGAGATGAAAAGTATGTTGAATGAGATTAACGTGTGCGAAAAAATTGCAGATGAAAACATTACTGAGTCCAAGAAGGCCGAATAGGAACAGCTCCAGTCTAGAGCCCCCAGCGTGAGCGATGCAGAAGATGGCTGATTTCTGCATTTCCAACTGAGGTACCAGGTACATCTCACTGGGGCTTGTCAGAGAGTGGGTAAATGACAGTGGGTGCAGCCCACCAAGCAAGAGCCAAAGCAGGGCAAGGCATCACCTCACCCAGGGAAGCACAAGGGGTCAGGGAATTCCCTTTCCTAGCCAAGGGAAGCTGTGACAGATGGCACCTGGAAAATCAGGTCACTCCCACCCTAATACTGCGCTTTTCCAAAGATCTTAGCAAACTGCACACCAGGAGATTATATCCCGCGCCTGGCTCAGAGGGTGCCACGCCCACAGAGCCTCGCTCATTGCTAGCACAGCAATCTGAGATCGAACTGCAAGGTGGCAGCAAGGCTGGGGGAGGGGCGCCCGCCATTGCTGAGGCTTGAGTAGGTAAACAAAGCGGCTGGGAAGCTTGAATTGGGTGGAGCCCACCGCAGCTAAAGGAGGCCTGCCTGCCTCTGTAGACTCCACCTCTGGGGACAGGGCATAGCTGAACAAAAGGCAGAAGAAACTTCTGCAGACTTAAATGTCCCTGTCTGACAGCTTGAAGAGACTAGTGGTTCTCCCAGCACAGAGTTTGAGATCTGACAATGGACAGACTGCCTCCTTAAGTGGGTCCCTGACCCCCGAGTAGCCTAACTGGGAGACATCTCCCAGTAGGGGCCAACTGACACCACACACGGCCGGGTGCCCCTCTGAGACAAAGCTTCCAGAGGAACGATCAGGCAGAAACATTTACTGTTCAGAAATATTCACTGTTCTGCAGCCTCCACTGGTGATACCTAGGCAAACAGGTCTGGAGTGGACCTCCAGCAAACTCCAACAGACGTGCAGCTGAGGGTTCTGACTGTTAGAAGGAAAACTAACAAACAGAAAGGATATCCGCACCAAAACCCATCTGAACGTCACCATCATCAAAGACCAAAGGTAGATAAAACCACAAAGATGGGGAGAAACCAGAGAAGAAAAGCTGAAAATTCTAAAAATCAGAGCACCTCTTCCCCTCCAAAGGAACGCAGCTCCTCGCCTACAACAGAACAAAGCTGGATGGAGAATGACTTTGACGAGTTGCAAGAATAAGGCTTCAGACAATCAAACTTCTCTGAGCTAAAGAAGGAAGTTCAAACCCATTGCAAAGAAGCTAAAAACCTTGAAAAAAAGATTAGAAGAATGGCTAACTAGAATAACCAATGGAGAAAAGTCCTTAAATGACCTGATGGAGCTGAAAACCGTGGCACGAGAACTACGCGACGCATGCACAAGCTTCAGTAGCCAAATCGATCAACTGGAAGAAAGGGTATCAGTGATTGAAGATTAAATGAATGAAATGAAGCGAGAAGAGAAGTTTAGAGAAAAAAGAGTAAAAAGAAATGAACAAAGCCTCCAAGAAATATGAGACTATGTGAAAAGACCAAAAATACGTCCGACTGGTGTACCTGAAAGTGACGGGGAGAATAAAACCAAATTGGAAAACACTCTTTAGGATATTATCCAGGAGAACTTCCCCAACCTAGCAAGGCAGGCCAACATTCAGATTCAGGAAATACAGAGAACACCACAAAGATACTCCTCGAGAAGAGCAACTACAAGACACATAATTGTCAGATTCACCAAAGTTGAAATGAAGGAAAAAATGTTAAGGGCAGCCAGAGAGAAAGGTCAGGTGACCCACAAAGGGAAGCTCATCAGACTAACAGCGGATCTCTCAGCAGAAACTCTACAAGCCAGAAGAGAGTGGGGGCCAATATTCAACATTCTTAAAGAAAAGAATTTTCAACCCAGAATTTCATATCCAGCCAAGCTAAGCTTCATAAGTGAAGGAGAAATAAAATTCTTTACAGACAAGCAAATGCTGACAGATTTTGTCACCACCAGGCCTGCCTTACAAGAGCTCCTGAAGGAAGCACTAACATGGAAAGGAACAACCGGTACCAGCCACTGCAAAAACATGCCAAATCGCCAAGACCATCGATGCTAGGAAGAAACTGCATCAACTAACGAGCAAAATAAACAGCTAACATCATAATGACAGGATCAAATTCACACATAACAATATTAACCTTAAATGTAAATAGGCTAAATGCTCGAATTAAAAGACACAGACTGGAAAATTGCATAAAGAGTCAAGACCCATCAGTGTGCTGTATTTAGGAGACCCATCTCATGTGCAGAGACACATATAGGCTCAAAACAAAGGGATGGAGCAATATCTACCAAGCAAATGAAAACAAAAAAAAGCAGGGGTGGAAGTTAGTCTCTGATAAAACAGACTTTAAACCAACAAAGATCAAAAGAGACAAAGAAGGCCATTACATAATGGTAAAGGGATCAATTCAACAAGAAGAGCTAACTATCATAAATATACATGTACCCAATACAGGAGCACCCAGAATCATAAAGCAAGTCCTTAGAGACCTACAAAGAGACTTAGACTCCCACACAATTATAATGGGAGACTTTAACAGCCCACTGTCAACACTACACAGATCAATGAGACAGAAAGTTAACAAGGATATCCAGGAATTGAACTCAGCTCTGCACCAAGCAGACCTAATAGACATCTACAGAACTCTCCTCCCCAAATCAACAGAATAAACATTCTTCTCAGCATCACATCGCACTTATTCCAAAATTGACCACATAGTTGGAAGCAAAGCACTCCTCAGCAAATGTAAAAGAACAGAAATTATAACAAACTGTCTCTCAGACCATAGTGCAATCAAACTAGAACTCAGGATTAAGAAACTCACTCAAAACCATTTGACTACACGGAAACTGAACAACCTGCTCCTGAACAACCTGCTCCTGAAAGACTACTGGGTACATAATGAAATGAAAACAAAAATAAAGATGTTCTTTGAAACCAATGAGAACAAAGACACAATGTACCAGAATCTCTGGGACACATTTAAAGCAGTGTGTAGAGGGAAATGTGTAGCACTAAATGCGCACAAGAGAAGCAGGAAAGATCTAAAATTGACACCCTAACATCACAATTAAAAGAACTAGAGAAACAAGAGCAAACACATTCAAAAGCTAGCAGAAGGCAAGAAATAAATAAGATCAGAGCAGAACCGAAGGAGATAGAGACACAAAAAACCTTTCAAAAAAATCAATGAATCCAGGAGCTGGTTTTTGGAGATCAACAAAATTGATAGACCACTAGCAAGACTAATAAAGAAGAGAGAAGAATCAAATAGACGCAATAAAATATCATAAAGGGGTTATCACCACCAATCCCACAGAAATACAAACTACCATCAGAGAATACTATAAACACCTCTATGCAAATAAACTAGAAAATCTAGAGGAAATGAATAAATTTCTGGACACATACACCCTCCCAAGACTAAAGCAGGAAGAAGTTGAAACCCTGAATAGACCAATAGCAGGCTCTGAAATTGAGGCAATAATTAAGAGCCTACCAACCAAAAAAAGTCCCGGACCAGATGGATTCACAGCTGAATTCTACCAGAGGTACAAAGAGGAGCTGGTACCATTCCTTCTGAAACTATTCCAAACAATAGAAAAAGAGGGAATACTCCCTAACTCATTTTATGAGGCCAACATCTTCCTGATACCAAAGCCTGGCAGAGACACAACAAAAAAAGAGAATTTTAAACCAATATCCCTGATGAACATCGATGCAAAAATCCTCAATAAAATACTGGCAAACTGAGTCCAGCAGCACATCAAAAAGCTTATCCACCATGATCAAGTGGGCTTCATCCCTGGGATGCAAGGCTGGTTCAACATATGCAAATCAATAAACGTAATCTATCATATAAACAGAACCAAAGACCAAAACCACATGATTATCTCAATAGATGCAGAAAAGGCCTTCAACAAAATTCAACAGCCCTTCATGCTAAAAACTCTCAATAAATTAGGTATTGATGGGACATACCTCAAAATAATAAGAGCTGTTTATGACAAACCCACAGCCAGTATCATACTGAATGGACAAAAACTGGAAGCATTCCCTTTGAAAACTGGCACAAGACAGGGATGCCCTCTCTCACCACTCCTATTCAACAAAGTGTTGGAAGTTCTGGCCAGGGCAATCAGGCAGGAGAAAGAAATAAAGGGTATTCAATTAGGAAAAGAGGAAGTCAAATTGTCCCTGTTTGCAGATGACATGAAACGAAAACCAAATCATCTCAGCCCAAAATCTCTTTAAGCTGATAAGCAAATTCAGCAGTCTCATGATACAAAATCATGTGCAAAAATCACAAGCATTCCTATACACCAATAACAGACAAACAGAGGGCCAAAGCATGAGTGAACTCTCATTCACAATTGCCTCAAAGAGAATAAAATACCTAGGAATCCAACTTACAAGGGATGTGAAGGACCTCTTCAAGGACAACTACAAACCACTGCTCAACGAAATAAAAGAGGACACAAACAAATGGAAGAACATTCCATGCTCATGGATAGGAAGAATCAATATCGTGCAAATGGCCATACTATCCAAGGTAATTTATAGATTCAATGCCATCCCCATCAAGCTATCAATGACTTTCTTCACAGAATTGGAAAAAACTACTTTAAAGTTCATACGGAACCAAAAAAGAGCCCACATTGCCAAGACAATCCTAAGCCAAAGGAACAAAGCTAGAGACATCACACTACCTGACTTCAAACTATACTACAAGGCTACAGTCACCAAAACAGCATGGTACTGGTACCAAAACAGAGATATAGACCAATGAAACAGAACAGAGCCCTCAGAAATAATACCACACATCTACAACCATATGATCTTTGACAACCCTGACAAAAACAAGAAATGGGGAAAGGATTCCCTAGTTAATAAATGGTGCTGGGAAAACTGGCTAGCCACATGTCAAAAGCTGAAACTGGATCCCTTCCTTACACCTTATACAAAAATTAATGCAAGATGGATAAAAGATTTAAACGTTAGACCTGAAACCATAAAAACCCCACAAGAAAACGTATGCAATACCATTCAGGACATAGGCATGCACAAGGACTTCATAGCTAAAATACCAAAAGCAATGGCAACAAAAGCCAAAATTGACAAATGGGATCTAATTAAACTAAAGACCTTCTGCACAGCAAAAGAAACTACCATCAGAGTGAACAGGCAACCTACAGAATGGGAGAAAACTTTTGCTATCTACCCATGTGACAAAGGGCTAATATCCAGAATCTACAAAGAACTTAAACAAATTTACAAGAAAAAATCAAACAACTCCATCAAAAATTGGGCGAAGGATATGAACAGACACTTCACAAAAGAAGACATTTATGCAGCCAAGAGACACATGAAAAAATGCTCATCATCACTGGCCATAAGAGAAATGCAAGTCAAAACCACAATGAGATACCATCTCACACCAGTTAGAATGGTGATCATTAAAAAGTCAGGAAACAACAGGTGTTGGAGAGGATGTGGAGAAATAGGAACACTTTTACCCTGTTGGTGGGAACGTAAACTAGTTCAACCATTGTGGAAGACAGTGTGGCGATTCCTCAAGGATCTAGAACTAGAAATACCATTTGACCCAGCAATCCCATTACTGGGTATATACCCAAAGGATTATAAATCATACTGCTATAAAGACACATGTACACGTATGTTTACTGCAGTACTATTCACAATATCAAAGACTTGGAACCAACCCAAATGCCCATCAATGATAGACTGGATTAAGAAAATGTGGCACATATACACCATGGAATACTATACAGCCATAAAAAAAGGATGAGTTCATGTCTTTTGTAGGGACATGGATCAAGCTGGAAACCATCATTCTCAGCAAACTATCACAAGGACAGAAAACCAAACACCGCATGTTCTCACTCATAGGTGGGAATTGAAAAATGAGAACACATGGACACAGGAAGGGGAACATCACACACTGGGGCCTGTCATGGGGTGGGGGGAGTGGGGAGGGATAGCATTAGGAGATATACTTAATGTAACTGATGAGTTAATGGGTGTGGCACACCTACATGGCACATGTATACATATGTAACAAACCTGCACATTGTGCACATGTACCCTAGAACTTAAAGTATAATAATAAAAAAAAGAAAACATTACTGAATTCGAATGCCTAGCAAAAGGTATTTCCAAAGTGAAACATATAAAGAAAAAAAGACTGAAAAAATGAACATAGCATCTGTGATCTGTGGGAAAAATTAATGCAGCCAAATATATAGGAATCCCAAAAGGGGGAATGGTAGTATTTGAAAAAATAATGGTCAAAAATATTCCAAATTTGGTGAAAATTATAAACCAACTGTAGTAGCTCATTTTCACGTTGCTGATAAAGACATACCTGAGACTGGGTAATTTATGAAGTAAAAGAGGTTTAATGGATTCACAGTTCCACGTGGCTATGGAGGCCTCACAATCATGGCGGAAGGTAAAAGGCACATCTTACATGGCGACAGACAAGAAGAGAATGAGAGCCAAGTGAAAGGGGAAACCCTTTATAAAACCATCAGATCTTGTGAGACATATTCACTACCATGAGAACAGTATGGAGGAAAACCTCCCCATGATTCAGATATCTTTTACCGGGTCCCTCCCATAATACATGGAAATTATGGGAGCTACAATTCAAAATGAGATTTGGGTGAGGACACAGCAAACCCATATCACCCTCAGATCCAAAAAGCTTATCTATCCCTAGTGTACCCCTTTCCCACCCCCACAAACACTAAATATGATGCAAATTCTATCAAGAACCAATATATTCAACTTGCTTAAAATCAGAAACAATGCAAAATTTTTAAAGCATTCAGTGAAAAAGATATGCTAAACACAGAAAAACATTCATGAGACTGACAGCAGACATGTGTTGGAACTATTGCAAGCTAGAATGAAAACAGTGAAGCAACACCTTAAAGTACTGAAAGAAGAACTATAAGCACAAAATTCTTTCTTTATCTTTTTTTAATTTTACTTTAAGTTCTGGGATACATGTGCAGAATGTGCAGGTTTGTTACATAGGTATAACTGAAGCACAAAATTATTTACCAAGTGAAAACATCTTTCAAAAATAAAAATCAAACCCTGTTTTAGAAATTTAAAAAACAAAGAGAATTAATCAGAATCAGATGTGAATGAGAAGAAATGTAAAGAAAGTTCTTCAAGCAGAAGGAAAGTAATACCAGAATATATCAATAATTATATGTAAACAATCTAAATATACCAATAAAAAGATGGGTTAGATGGATGTAATGAAAAACATGACTCAACTGTATACTGCCTAGAAAGGACTCACTTAAAATATAGGTGAGCTGAAAGTAGAAAGATACAAAAAGGTTTATCTTGCAAATGTTAATCAAATGAAACAGGGTTACTTATATTGATAGCAGGTAAAGTAGAGTTTAGAGCATAAAAAATTGCTAGAGACAGAGAGGAACATTATATTATGATAAATTATCAACTACCAAGAAGTATAAAATAGCAATTGTCAATGTGAATGCACCAACAGAGTTGCAAAGTACGTAAAGCAAAAACTGATTGATAGAAATGAATGGAGAAATCGCTAAGTCCATAATTATCGTTGGACATTTTAATATCCCTTTCTCTAGAATAACTAGAAAATTAACAAAAGTCTAGAAGAAATTAACACCATGAACCAGTAGTATTTAATTGACTATTATAGAACATTCCACTAAAATAACAGTAGTATACACCTTCTTTTCTTTCTTTTTTCATGTAAGTAATAAACAGTTAACTCTCAGTTTTAATGGAGGAGCATAAGGATAAATAAGTAAGACAATAATAACAAAAATAAAAGTAAATATATGTGGCTTGTCAACAGATGCTGGCATTTTGTGAATTATAGAGTCTTCTTTCTTTTCTGAGGGGCAAGAAGGCAGTCATTTTGAAATCCTGAAAAACTGTATTTATGTTTCTCTATTTAATTGTATTGCTAACACCTCAGTGCATTTTTACTTTTTTTTTTACTTATTTTATATATATTTATATATTTTTTTAATTTTACTTTAAGTTCTGGGATACATGTGCAAATGTGCAGGTTTGTTACATAGGTATACATGTGCCATGGTGGTTTGCTGCATCTATCAACCCATCATCTAGGTTTTAAGCCCCACATGCATTAGGTATTTGTCCTAATACTCTCCCTCCCCTTGCCCCCCACCCCCTGACAGGCCCTAGTGTGTGTTGTTCTCCTCCCTGTGTCCATGCATTCTCATTGTTCATATCCCATTTATGAGTGAGAACATGTGGTGCTTGGGTTTCTGTTCCTGTGTTAGTTTGCTGAGAATGATGGCTTCCAGCTTCATCCATGTCCCTGAAAAGGACATGATCTCATTCTTTTTTATGGCTGCGTAGTATTCCATGGTGAATATGTGCCACATTTTCTTTATCCAGTCTATCATTGATGGGCATTTGGGTTGGTTCCAAGTCTTTGCTATTGAGACACCTTCTTTTCAAGTGCCCATGGAAAGTGTACTAAGATGAATGATATATTTTGGATTTCTGTACATAACAATTGTATTACTATATCAATGCAATTAGAGTATAATTTTATATACTAGCAATAACCATATGTCCACCGAAATTAACAATGGAGTATGATTCACAATCAATCAAAAGTGAAATATTCAGGTGTACATCTAGCAAAACATGTATAAGATTTGTATAATAAAAATTATAAACACTGATGAAAGAAATCAAAGGAGATTTAAATAAATGGAGAGACATATTCCATTAGTGGATTAAAAGATTCAACATAATAAAGATGTTAATTTTCCTCAAATTAATATGCAGCTTTAGCATAATTTTAATCAAATCCCAGCAAGACTTTTTGTAGACATAGACAATATTATTCTAAAATTTATATGAAAAGGCAAAGTACTTAGAATAGCTAAAACCATTTTTAAAGGGAGCAAAAATAAGAAATCAGTCTACTCAGTTTTATGTCATATTATATAAAGGCAAAGGAGTACATCCATAGATAAATGGAACAAAATAGAGAACCCATTAGAACCATGCAAATATGTTCAACCAATTTTTGACAAAGGTGCAAATGTAATTCAATCAAGGATATATACAGCCTTTTCAAAAAATAGTGTTAGGGCAATTAGACATCCATGGGCAAAACATTACATTTAATGTAAGTCTCACGTTTCACAAAATTTACTTCAAAAAGGATCACAGAAAAAAATATAAAACTATAAAACTTTAGGAAAAAACACAGATAATTTTCAGGATTCAATGTTAGGCAAGGAATTCTTAGATTTGATACCAAAATCATGTAAAAGTGAAAAAAATGACAAATTGAACATCAAAATTTACAGACTTTTGCTCTGCAAAGGAGACTTTGAAGAAAATAAAAATATGAGAATCACACTGGGAGAAAATATTTACAAACTACATATATTACAAAAGACTAGTATCTGTAATATATAAAGATCTCTCGAAACTCAACTGCAAAAAAATGAACAATCCAATTAGAAAATTTGCAAAGGCATAAACAGACATCTCATCAAAGAGGTAAAATAGGTGGCAAATAAGCCCATGAGAAGATTGAAAGAAACACTTAACCAAGAAGTTATATGGATGACAAACAAGAACATGAACATCATTCGTCATAGGGGGAAGTGAATTAAAACCACAATGATATAGCATACACATCTATTAGAATAGCTAAAATAAAAAAAAATAGTGGCAACAACAAATGTGAGAAAAGATGCAAGAATCTGGATCACTAATGCATGGTCAGTGGAAGCTATTCTTTATTTATTACTTGAAACAACATGGATGCCTTTCAATGAGTGAATGGTTAAACAAACTGCTGTATATCTGTAACATAGAATACCATTCATTATTTAAAAACTAGACTTTTGATACACACAATAACCTGGATGAATCTCCAAAGAATTATTTTGCATGAGAAAAATCAATCCCAAAGGATGATGTACAGTTTGATTTATGTAACAATCTTGAAAAAACAAAATTACAGAAAATAATAGATTAGTGGTTGCCAGTGGTTAAGGAAGAGGTAGGTGCAAAAAGAAGAAGTTGTGACTACAGAAGATCAACATGATGCTTACTTGTGCTGATGATAAATCTACAACATTCTAAACATAAGAAGTTTAAATAATAACAATGGTATTTAAATTAAACAAAACATAAGTAAGTAGCATAAATCTTCCAATTAAAAGAAATTGTCAGATTAGATAATGTACTGAGACCCCACTACACAGTGGTCACAAGAAATACACTTTAAATATAAAAACATAAATGAATTCACATTTTAAAATGGAAAAATATATGTCACTGTAATCCTAATCAAAGAAAGATGAAGGGGCTATTTAATATCAAAGTATTTTTGAAAGCAAAGATTAAAGATGTTTATTATATAATGATCAAAGAGTCAGCTAATCAAGAAGACATAAAAATTCTGTGTTTTAATGTAACTAATAACAGACCTTCAGAATATTTAGAGCGAAAGCTTATAGAAATGCAGGAAGAGATAGGGAAATTCACAAATATTACCAAAGATTTCAACATACTTCTTTCAGATTATTGAGCAAGTTGATAGAAAATGAACAAGAATGTAGATTAGAGCAATACTATGAATAAAATTACCTTAATATTTATAAAATACCCAATGACAGAAAAGTACACAGTGAATACAATATATAAAAATATATTCTGGGTTATAAAACAAGTATTAATTCATTTAATATGAATTAGGTCATACAAGGTGTTTTCTAACCACAATGAAATCATATCAGAAATCAAAAACAGAAAGACAGCAAAATATCCTCTAAATAATTAGAAACTAAAGAACATAATGCTGAATAACTTGTGTCAACAAAGAAAGAAAAAGGGAAAATAGAACGTATTTTGAGTTGAACAAAAATGGAGACACAGTATAGCAAAATATGTTGGTTGACATTAAGAAAATATTTAAGGGAAGTTTTATATTACAAAATGCCTGTATTGAAAAGAAGACAGAGAGGTGTCCAAACCATTAACTCTGTTTCCGCCTTAAGCAAATAGAAAAAAAAGGAACAAATTAGATCTCAAGTTCTTAGAAGTGATAATAAAACAGATATTACAGAAAAAAATCACTCAAATAGCAGCAGAAAAACAAAAAGTGTGTTAACTGAGAAGATGGAAAAAAATGAGAAACTTCTAGCCAGATTGATCAGGAGAAAACAATTGAAGTTAACAATATCAGGAATGAGAGAAGTGCCATCACTTAGATTCTGCAGATATTAAAAGATTAAGGGAATATTATGATCAATTTTATGCAAATAAACTTGAAAATATAAATGAAATGGACAAATTTCTTGAAAGATACAAACGACCAGAGCACATTTAAGATGAAACAACCTGAAAAGCCCTTCATCTACTGCAGAAATTGCATATGTAGTTAATAGTCTTCCCACAGGAAATTCCAGGCCCAGTTAGACCCAGTGTTGTATTTTACCAAATGTTTAGAGAACAAATAATATTGGCAAAACCAGAGACATTACAAGAAAATTATAGTCTTGATTTTTGCAAATAAATCACGGAGAGACACACACATGCACACAGACTGAGAAGAGACAGACAGAGAGAGAGAGGAGAGAGAGGGAGACAGTGAGCCAGTAATCTATCAAGTGGGGTTGGCTGCAGGAATACAAGGTTAACTGAATATTTGAAAATCAATAAAAATAATTCATTATTATTAACAGACTCAAAAAGAAAATATATGTAATCATCTCAATAGATGAAGAAAAAGCATTTCACAAAATCCAACATTAATTCCTGATAAAAATGCATAGCAAACTGAAATAAAAGTGAATTTCTGCTTGATAAAGAATATTTATGAGAACCCTATAACTAAAATTATACTTAATGAATAAATATTAAACATTTTCTCCCTAAGATCAGGAATACCAATAACAACAACAAAAAACAAACTTGAATTTTAAAAGCATTTAAAATAGCATCAAAAATATGCAATACATAGGAATAAACTTGAAAAAAGTGTGAAAGATATATATACTGAAAACTACAAAATATTACTGAGAAATTAAATAATTAAATAGATGGAATACTGTGTTTATAGATGGAAAATTCAACACTGATAGGTTTTAAATTTTCCTGAAAAGAGTTCTGTAAATTAAAATATTTTAAATCAAACTATCAGCAGGGTTCTCTTTGTAGAAAATGGCAAACTGATTATAAATTTCATACAAAAATTCAAAGAACCTAGAAGAATCAAAACAACTTTTAAAAGAAAAAATATTTTTGAAAGACTAATACCTGATTTCAAGTCTTAATCAAGAGTAATCAAGGAAGTGTAGTGTTGTCATCAAGATAGACAAGTAAATCAATAGAACAGAATAGAGAGTCCCAGAGATGGTCCCAATTTATATTATAAATTGGTTTCTGACAAAGGTGCAAATATAGTTCAGCAGAAAAGAATAGATTTTCAAAGAATATTGCTGGAACAATTGCATATTCACTTCAAAAGTGAACTTTGATCTATACACCACATAAAAATAAATCAAATGGATCATACACCTAAATGTTAAACTTAACCTATAAAACTTCTAGAAAAGATAAAAAAAAAATCTTTGTGACTTTATTCAAAGATTTTTTTAAAACATACACCAAAAGCATTATCCATTAATGAAAAATTGACTAATTGAACTTCATAAATATTAAGAACTTATGCTCTTTGAAAACACTGTCAAGAAAATGAAATGGCAATCAGAGCATTGGAGAAAACATCTGCAAATAACGTGATCTGACCAGAGATTTGTAAGCAGAATACATGAAGAACTCTCAAAACTCAAAAAGAAAATAAACAGTTTAATTTTAAAAACGAGCAAAGATTTAAATAGACATTTCACCAAAGAGGATATATGATTGGCAAATAGGTAGATAAAACATGTTCAACATCATTTACTTATTAAGGAAAAGCAAATTAAAACCATAGTGAAACAACGTTAAACACCTTTTAAAATTTGTAAAAGTTAAAAAAAAAAAACTTATAGCAAAGGCTGACTAGGAAGTGTGTCAGCTAGAACATTCAAACACTGGTAGAACTGTAAAATGATACACAAGCTTCAGAAAAGAGCTTGGCGGTTTCTTTAAAAATTATACCTGTCATACAATTTAGCCATTCTGCTCCTGGGAAAATTCCCAAGAGAAATGAAAGCCTGTGGCCATACAAAGACTCGTACACAAATGTTCGTAGAAGCTTTGGTTGTATTAGCCAAAAATCTGAAACATTCAAATATCCACCCACAAGTGAATGGATAAATTGTGGCCTGTCCATATATTGGCATACTACTCAGTACCAAAAAGGAATGAACACTGATACACACAACAAAATGGATGAGTCACCAAAGCATTATTCTCAGTGAAAGAAGCCAGAGGAAAAAAAATCCAATATATTTTGTATGTTTACATTTATACTAACCGCTAGAAAATATGAGCTAATCTATACTGACAGAAAGTAGATCAGTTATTGCCTGAGGATCAAGGAGTGGCGCAAAAAGGAGCAGGTAAGGATGATAAAATTACAGTGGGGCATGAGGAACTTTTGGGGATGATAGTTTGTGTTGATTATTGCACATATATTTGTATGAATTTATATGTATATACATAAGTAAATGTCAGATTTCACTTAATTGTATGCTTGAAACAAGTGCAGTTTATTGTATGTCAATTACATCTCAATAAAGCTGTTTACAAAAATGAAAGCAAGAAAAGAATAAAAAAACATTTTGGAGGATGTTTATCCCACTACAGAGATTGAAGTGTATGCACTGCAGGAAGACCTAATGGTCAGCTGTATTTCATTGTTGAGATTTTAGCTTTTCCGTTGAGTGATGTGTTCATGGGTGTTGATTATTACAAATAAAATAACTAAATAAAACCAGGGCAGAATAATTCAATAATGAGAATGTATTTTAAAATAATGGTAATGTTTAATAATTCTATTTTCTATACCTCTCTATACCTCTCTTCCAAAAGTTAATTATAATAACAATATTTTTATAGGGTCTACTCAAATGTTCATGATAAATTGCAGTAACAAGTTCTACAATATCTCGGAATTGAAGACTATTTCTAGTTCTAGCTCCAGTTTTGATCCAAATAAAAATAAAGATGCACCCAGTTTCCTCAAAGATATGCTTTTAAGCATTTTAGCTGTTATACTTCAGGATGTTTTTAAATTTAATAACTCTAGTTCATAGAGAATACCACATGAAAAATCACTTGTTAAAATGGGTTGTAGGATGCTCTCTCTCACCTATGACTTAAGCCGTTTCATTGTGCATTTGGACATGAAACTTAACAATCTGGCCTGCCCAGGGTGGTTGTTACTGCCTTGATTTTGGAAAAGGTGGAACTATGTTAGCCTTGTATTGCCTTATTTATTTGTGGTGAAGGGTGGAGTGATGTGTAGATATGAAGTTTTTCCAGGGTTTCTGGCAACCATTACACCCTCTGACCATGATCTCAACTGGAGGACTTGAGCCAATTATTTCCCCACTGGTTTTTCTTCTCTAATATATGGGCTTGTAACAGGCCTTAAATCATGGTTTTGTAATGTATTTAAAGCTATGACTATAACAGTCCTGAAAGGCTCAGCTTTTGCTAGAAAGATAATGAAATAAACTAGATAATAGCTACAGATTCTTCAAAACAGATGCTGGTGGAGGCTTTTCTCATTGCACAATTCCAGGCAGAAAACTCAAATCAAATGCAATCTGAAAGTTGCCCCTGGAGTTGTATAATTGTTCAGCCCTTCAAGGTTAGAGATAGATGAAGAGAACAATTTAAGATACATCAAAGTCAGTTTCTATTCTGTTATATACATTCTTAAGTTTTGTACTCTAGAAGTAAAATCAGTTGTTGGCTATATAAGGGAATATTACATAAGGTTTTGATTTTATCAGATTATTTGATTCTTTTAGTAAAATCACTTCCTAACAACTTTTGAACACACACACTTAACTTACTGTTCATACTCAAAAATATTCAAAATCTTGCATAAGAAATCACATAAATTTCTATTTTGTATTCAGGAGTGCTATCACTTTTTCTTCCCACAGTTGTGAAAATAACACATGACTAAACAAAGCAAAGCAAAAACAAAACAAAACAAACAAAAACAGCAGCTGAGAACAGAGCTTTGAGGTGGGGCACAAGAGGTTTATAATACACTCCAACTCTGCCTTCTCCCTCATCATCTATGCATATCCAGTTCATTATAGACTCTTTAGGATGCTGGCATGCTTGATCTCCACAAGTCACAATGGAAGAATGTTGGGGGAGTAAAATACAGTTTCCTCTGCTACTGCCAGGCCTGTGTCATAATTAATATCATTTCTCTCCTGTGCCCCTCAGTCTACTTTTTACCCACCTCCAATCAGTACTTTGGCTTTGGTTGATTTTGTGGTTGGAACATTCAGTTCAGTTTTACCTGTTAGCCTATGGTTATTGCAAATATCAGTTTCCAGTTATTATCAGGCATGCAACCATCAAGAATCCCTTGGTCCCTTAATGTATCTCTACCTACTAAGGGTTATCAGGGTGATCAGATAATCACTAATGTATAAAATTCTTTACTTGCCTGTTAGTACACCAGAATAAGAAGCCTCAAATAAGCAGGTAGTTCCTAGTTTCCTCAATTTCACTAGTATTTTTATTTCATCCCCTTGCAGAAATTTTCTGTCTTCCACTCCCACTCCTACTACCAAGAGGCAAGATTTCTTGGTTGTTGTTGGTTATTTAAGGGATCATTACATAAGGTTTTGATTGTATCAGATTTCTTGGTTCCCATAAGTTGCACAAATGGGAAGCACAGATTACACAAATGAGTCAACATGAGTGATGGTGAGTGAGGTTAATCATACTTCAATTCCTGAGTTCTCAGGCTCATGTATTTTAGCTGTTGGGGATACACTGCCATAAAGGTCCAGTTACACAAATAGTTCAGTTTCACATACTGTGCATGTGAACATACTACCCCAGTTCTGCAAAAAGTTTTCTCCTACCTGTCACCATAGCTGAATTTTAAATGGCTATCTATATTCTGAATTCGATTCTATATTCTAAAAGAAACTTAAGATCCTTATACCATACTTATACCAACTTATACATACTTATACCAACTTAAGTCTTTGATTTGTAACATTGTGGTAAAATATACGTAACATAAAACTTTCCTTTATAACCAATTTAATTGTACAGTTTGGTGGTATTAAGTGTGTTCACAATGTTGCGCAACTATCCCCATTATCCATTTCCAGAACTTATTAACTGGCTACTCCGGGTGATGTTGCATATGGCAGAACAAATGATTGCTCTGGCCATGTGTCCATTGTCACACCTTATTCATCTTAGTCTAAGGCAATAGTACGCGGGATCCCATTAAGACCAAAATAGCTGGGCTTTTATACCCTTATCTTGCTTGATCTCCACAAGTGGGCTGTCCTGGAAAGTGCATGACCTTAAATGAAGCAGCTCTCTGGAGTTGCAGCCAACCCTGTCTAAAGTTGAGGCTGCCTGTTGACCTCACTTCTCATAGCTGTGCATCAAGTTTTTCCTGAAAGGGAATCTGGATGACATATGTCCATAGACAACAGTTACTTTGGCCGACTTTCCCTTTTACATTTGAGAAAGATCTTCTCCAGGATTCCAGTGGGATTCTCCTTGAGGCAAAAGTTAGAAGGAGCAGGTTAGTAAAATGAATGGCAGTCCCCACTGCTATAGTTGGTTTCAGGGCCACAACTGACACTCATAATTTTCTATTTCCACTATCCATTCTAGATACTCCTTAATCAAAGTTACCATTTCTGCTGTCCTTGGAAAACTATCTGCTAGTATAATGCAGATCCACATCTGTGAGAAGCTTGAGTCTTTGGTTATCATGCCATCTCAAGCCAAGGTTGCTCCAACTGCCCTTTTAAAGCCACAGTTGGGCAAGATAGCATCAAGATGTGTCCAAATGGATTGCCTGGGTTCCAGTTCCATAAATAATGTATTTGCCTCATCTTGTTTATCAGGGTCAATTATTCATACAAAATGACAACACTTAGTCTTGCATCTTGATTCCTGTACACACAAAAGTACCAATATGCCGAAATGGCAACCAAAGCTTATTGTTCAGTGGAGCTCTTGCTATGTTCCCTGATGAAAGTACACTCCTTGATGACCAAGATCTCTAACCCTACAGGTCCTAAAATTGCAAGAATGGGAAAAATCCATTCTTCTGGTGGCTCTTGGTGAGTTGTAAATGAGTCCACCATTGCACTGACTTCCTGGTTTCCCAGACCCATGTAATCTTCATATTTGGGACATGGAGCTATGCAGAGGTTTTGGTTCAATATATGGATAGTGTCCTGTAGAATGGCACTGTTCCGTGTTGACCCATCAGTTGCACCTTTACTTTTTTTTTTTTTGAAATGGAGTTTCACTCTTGTCACACAGGCAATAGTGCAATGGCGCAATCTGAGCTCACTGCAACCTCCACCACCCAAGCTCAAGCAATTCTCCTGCCTCAGCCTTCAGAGTAGCTGGGATTACAGTCGCCTGGCACCACGCCAGCTAATTTTTGTATTTTTAGTCGAGACAGGGTTTCACCATGTTGACCAGGCTGGTCTCGAACTCCTGACTTTTCAGGTGATCCACCTGCCTCTGCCTCCCAAAGTGCTGGGATTACAGGTGTGAGCCACCACACTTGGCCCAGTTACACCTTTAGCAGGCCATTTTCATTCTCTATTAATCCAGCTTTTGGGTGGCCAGTATGGAGCACAAAGAATGAATTCCTTGGTTTGGGGCTCGCTCTCACATTTCCTTTCATATATAGTGAGTTTCTTAATATAACATGACATTATGTAGAATTCCATGTTGAATACTGGTGCTGGAAAAGGAAACTGTACCTGAAAAAAATGAATTCTAGGAATAAAATGTTGGCTTTCTCAGGATGGAAGAAACCAAATGTAGTCAGTTTCCATGAAGGAGTCAATTGACGTCTTTGAGACATGGTGCCACACTGTGGGCTCCATGCTAGTTTTTGCTGCTGAAAGATCAGATAATGAACATGAGCAATGTGTAGCTCAGCCTCGGTAATTGAGAGCTCATTCCGCTGGGCCTGTGTGTAGCACTTGTCTTGCTGTCACGGTCACTTCATGTGTTCATTATGCCCGCTCTGGGATGGCTGATCACAGAAGCTGGCTGAGTCAACTGGCTACACCACATTTTATAGTTGGCTGTTTAGTCCCTTTTCTGTGTGGATGTTGTCTGTGGGTGTTTACATGTCGTACATAAATCTATAAATCTACACACTTGATTCTCATTACCATATATTTATCTATTTGCCTCAACTCGGACCTCATTGTTTATTATTTTTTCATCTTTTTTTCTCTAGGCCTTAGACTAATCAGGCCATTTGCAGCCATAAATATACTAACTTCAGGGAACTTCTCTTTGCACATAAAATGGATGACCAGATGCATTCCTATAGCTCTGCCCATTGGGAAGATTGTTTTGTCACCATTATCTTTTAAGGCTATCTCTGAATAAGTCTACTGTATAATGCAGCTGTCAACCATTTGGGGCTTGCTCTGACATAACAAGCTGACCAATCTATAAACCAAAATAGTATTTTTCCCACTCTTCTTTTAGTTAATTATTTAGAATCCCTATACAAACATAGATGTGAGATAAGAGAGAGGCAATGGTGCAAGAGTGGAAGACATGGGATACTGGAATAAAATCAATGTGTTTTTGTTTATCTCACAGGTCATTTTCAAGCTTAATTTTATGAACAATTTGAGGTTATGGGCCTTTATTTCCTTCAAGTCTTTCAAATAAATTTAATTTATATAGTATGCCAAGTTTCTTCTAAAAAATATATCATTAAAATGCCAAAAGAAAAATAACCAAAGAATAAAATCTACCTAAGGGTCTTAGGAGGCAAAATTTTGAATTGTACCCAGAGAATCACATGGCTAGATTAGTACTGTGCACATAAGTTTAAGAGTAAGTAGGATAGTGAGAAAATCCACGAGTGTATATAATACAAATATTTGCAATGCAGTAAAAGGCAGGCTTGCTCATCTTGGGTACTGGTAGACATTTTATAGTAGGCAGTTTTTAGGTACTGGTAGGGATTTAGGATATAATAACCAGATTGACTTTTTAAAGGTGATTGTTGCTCTTTCTACTACTCATATATTGGGCACAAGTGAACAAAATGCTAGCCAAAAAATATCATTAGGAGTTTCTATGTTGTTCAATTTCTTTTTCTTTTTATTTTTGCTTTAAACAATCTTTTTAATTCTCATAAATCATGGGAAGAAGTGCTAATTGGCTACTTTAAATGTAAAAAAAATTATTGAGAAGCAGGAAAAGATGGAAGTGCTAGATTATGGTAGAAACTTGATTCACCCTTAAAAGAAACCTATGGGGAGGGACTGATATGTTAAAAATATAAGAAATATATTAGTTTGCAGATAAATGGCCATGAAAACACACATTTTATTTAAAAAGGTGGTTCACAAAACTATATTTTCTTTACCTTTTTCTATAAGGTATAATTCTATGTCTCCAAAGATAATATACAAATGGCCAACAAGCATGTAAAAAGATTCTTAACATCCCTAACCATTAGGGAAATGCAAGTAAAAAAACACATTGAGATATTATCTCATATCCATTAAAAAAAAAAAACAGAAAATAACAAGTGTTGGTGTGAACGTGGAGAAATTGGAATACTTGGAGACTTGGTGGGAATGTGAAATGATGCAGATACTATGGAAAACAATTTGGCAGTTCTTCAAAAAACTTAAAAATAGAACAGTTATATACTCCAGACATTCCACTTCTGGGTATATGTCCAAAAGAATTAAAAGAAGGATCTCAGTGAGATATCTGTACATTCATGCCCATAGCAGCACTATTCAGTAGCACTATTCACAATAGCCAAGAGTGAAAGCAACCTCAGTGTCCATCAATGGACAAATGGATAAACAAAATGCAGTGTATACTCACAATAGAATATTATTCCGCCTAAAAGAAGAAATAAATTCTGAAACATGCTATAACATAATAAGCCAGTTAGAAAAATATAAATACTGTATAATTCCATTCATATGAGATACCTAGAGTAGTTGAATTCATAGAGACAGAGAGTAGAATGGTTTCCAGGGGCTGTGAGAGAGGGAAATGGGAAGTTATTATTTAATAAGTACAGAGTGTCAGTTTTACAAATGAAAAAGTTCTGGAGATTGGTTGTACAACAATGGGTCCACACTTAACACTAATGAGCTGTACACTTAGAAATGGTTAATATGGTACATTTTATTATGTTCTGCATTTTTACAATATTTTTAAATATATAATTGAATTTCTTTGTGAATTGGATGACAATTATTATTCACTGATGTGTGGCCACAAAGCACAAGCATTTTGACTACAGGTATCTACTTAACCAAGAGGGACATTGGAAAACACTGGATCTGCACAAAACATCTTGATTTTCACCATTCATTGTTTACCCCCAAATACATCAATCTCCCTGAAGTTTCTCATCAAAATTTATTTGATAGAAATATTAAGATAATTAAGTAAAAAAGGAACTTGCATTTTTAACTACAGTTTACCAAATTTTGAGGATAGACAAAAATTTGCTTCTTCAAATATATAAAATAATTAATTGCTTTTTAAGGGAAAAAAACCATCAATTTGTAAATTGCAAACCCTTTAACATTTGTAGAATACAAACTCACTAAGTATGTGCTGAGTTTATGAATCAATGTTTTACAAGAATAATTTAGACAGATTTTCTGTCACTGATCACTGTATTGGCCAATCCCAAATGATATAGGGAAAAAGGTATGAACAAGTTAAGACATTCTTGTGGCCTCTTCCAGCTGTTTATCAACTTCGACATAACACAAAGGAGACTCTAAACAAAGCTACGTCAAAATGTAGGTCAAACCTAGTTACTATTTGCTACTGATAAGGATTAGCAGCACTTTCTGAGTGCTGAGTTTCAGGCATTGTGCTGAACTAACTCTACATACGTAATGTATTTGTCTTCATGACCAACATCAGGTTAAAAATTATCAGTACTACTTTACAAAGAAAGTAGCTGAGATCAAGCAGTTGATTAAAATACTCGAGGTTACACTGAAGCTAGGAATCCAGATCAGGTGTAAATAAATTTGAATCCCATATCACTGATGAATGCTACACAATCATTTCTTTAGTTCCTGTAGTATACAATAATTGCTTGTGAAAATAATAATTACAGCTCTTATTACCAAAAACTTACATTGTTCTGAGATTTTGTTCTGTGTCACCTTCATTTAAATTTCACAAGAACACTATGGTTGATACTACCAGTGTCTCTCTCTTATTCATAAGTAAAATAAAGCACAGGAATAAAGCCAGTCTGCCAAGTTGACACAATCAGTAAGTGGTTGAATTGAAATTAGACTTCCAAGCCTATTACTCTTGAACACTACTCAGAATTTCCTAGTAGTAGAGGCTTTATATCAATAAATACTAACAATAAGTGATTTGGGGTCATTTTAAAGTTCCACTTAAAAAATAACTTTTGGAGCTTTCACATTCTGATTTCTACTATGATGAACGTAGGACTTAAAAGTCATTCCCATCCACCTTCACCCAACAAACAACCAAAAAACTAAACTGAAAATGAATGACTTAGATCCATGAGAATTGAGCTGGACAAACCACTAACCTTAAAAACCAACCTTAAATACTAGAGAAACAGGCAAATACAGAGAATATAGTTTGGCTTCCCTGAAGATGAAGCCTCTGGAGCCAGTAATTCATAAGAATGCTTAACTTTGACCAGTTCTTGCACACTTACTTCAGACTACTTGACAGTGAGAAGACTTTGAGGGCCAATCCCCCGGGGCCCCACACTTTTGTGAATTTTACTTTCAGGAGCCCCACAAACTGCTCAAGGTAAAGATTTAAAAACTGTTTAGCCAGTGGGATGAAAAAAGTAACCATTCTGAAATACCCTGAGGAAAAGTAACCATTTAAAATAATCCAGAGCATTCCCCACAACAGAAGCCTACCTAGCAACGGAAATAACTACACCAGAGCATTGAAATAAATTACCCAAATGCACCCCCTCTAGCCTTGCTGCCTCTCATAAATGGGAAAAGCAGGCAAGAAGTACTTGTGAAGGTCACAGCCAAGGAGCACAAATCCATTATAAGACTGAAAAGACTGAGACTTAATCATAAGGTTATACACTGCTTCACCTTTCCTACCCTTGTTCACCACAGAGCTCCAGTATAGTAACAGTGGATTACTGAAAGAACTGCAAGCCTCAGACTCTATTTAAGAAGGAGATTCTAGGGAAATCCAAAAACAGCAAAGAGACAAAAACGACAACAGAGGCCATTGAAGCCTATGACAACTACAGCTACAGAAAACAGTAAACACAGATGAGCTCTTAGGCAAACAAACATAAAATCTCACACTAAAGACCTACATACCTTAGTTCCTATTAACCAATACATTATTTATAGTTTACAACAAAAAATTACAAGGCATGCTAAAAGGAAAGAAAAAATGAACTAAAGAGACAAAGCAAACACCCAAACCAGTGAATATTTTGAAATTATCACTCTAAATGTAAAGTAACTCTGATGAATATGCTAAGGAATCAAATGGTAAAAGCAGATAACGTGCAAGAATATGTAAGTAATGTAAGCAGAGAAATGGAATCTCTAACAGCATGAAAAGGAAATGTTGAAAATCATAAACACTGTCACAGAAATTAAGAATGCCCTTGATAGATCATCAGTAGGCTGGACACAGCCAATATGTTAACAGAAACTTAGCCAAATTAAAAAAAAAAAAGGAAAATTAAAAATGGGATAGAATATCCAAGTACTGTAGGACAATTACAAAAGGTATAACATACATATAATGGAAATACTGGAAGGAGGAAAAAGAGAGAAAGTAGTAAATACTTGAAATAATAATGGCTGAGTATTTTCCAAAATTAAGGTCAGAAATAGAACCACAAATGCAGGAAGCTCAGAGAATGCCAAGCAGAAAAAAATTAAAAGATATATATTATAGCATATCATATTCAAACTATAGAAAAATCAAAGGCAAAGAGAAAATTGTGAAAGAAGCCAGAAGGAAAAACAAAAGAAAACAAGAACAACAGCAAAAAACACCTTACCTATAGGAAAATAAAGAAAATTGTTATATTGGACTTATCTTCAGAAACATGCAAGCAAGAAAAAAAATGAAGGCAAATATTTAAAGTGTTCAAAGAAAATAAAAAACAAAACACTGGCAAATTAGGATTCTGTACCCAATAAATTTATACTTTGAAGGTGAAGAATAAAGACTTTCTCAAACAAAAACTGAGTGTAATTGCAGCCATTAGCTCAGTCTTGCCAAAAATGGTAAAAGAAGTTCTTCAGAGAGAAGAAAAATAATATAGGTCAAAAACTTGGATCTTCTTAAAGAAGGAAGTCCAGAAAAGAAATCATAAAAAGGCAAATAAATCTTTTATTTTTCTTATTTCTATCTGATATAACCGATATCTGTTCACAGTAATAACAATTTTATATATATATGTGTGTGTGTGTGTGTGTGTGTGTGTGTGTGTGTGTGTGTATTCACACATCCACAGCATATGGATAAGTAAAAAAATGGCAACAATGTTATAAGAATTGAGGGAAGAATTTAAAGTATTCTGTTGATTTATATGTGTACTATCTTTGAAGCAGTATAGTTTTTTTGAAAATGTTCTTGGACTTGCATAGTCTTTGTTCACAGATGACATCATTGTTTATGTAGAAAATATCAATGAATTAGCCCTCTTCATAAAAATCTTTTAACTAGTAGATGATTTTAGCAAGACTGAAGGTACAAAGTCAGTATGCAAAAGTCAATTGCTCTCTTATATAGTAACAATGGACAATTGGAATTTAAAATTTTAAACACACCATTTGTATTAACACCAAAAAAGGGAGACACAAAATATATATAGAGGATACTATACGTATTAGAGAAAATCTACAAAATTTTGATTAAAATAATCAAAGATCTTTAAAATTGGACAGATATTCTATATTCATGAATAGAAAGACATAAAAATGTTTAATATACCAATTTTCCTCAAATTGATCTATAAATTCAATAATAATCCCCATCAAAATCCCAGCAAGTTATTTTGTGGATGTCAACAAATTGATTTTAAAGTTTCTAAGGAAAGACAAAAGACCCAGTGTAATCAACACAATATTGAAGAACAAAGTCAGAAGGATGACACTATCTGACTTTAAAACTTATAAAGCTACAGCATTCAAGATAGTATGGTATTGAGATAATCATGTGGTTTTTGTCTTTGGCTCTGTTTATATGCTGGATTACATTTATTGATTTGCGTATATTGAACCAGCCTTGCATCCCAGGGATGAAGCCCACTTGATCATGGTGGATAAGCTTTTTGATGTGCTGCTGGATTCGTTTTGCCAGTATTTTATTGAGGATTATTGCATCAATCTTCATCAAGGATATTGGTCTAAAATTCTCTTTCTTGGTTATGTCTCTGCCCGGCTTTGGTATCAGAATGATGCTGGCCTCATAAAATGAGTTAGGGAGGATTCCCTCTTTTTCTATTGATTGGAATAGTTTCAGAAGGAATGGTACCAGTTCCTCCTTGTACCTCTGGTAGAATTCGACTGTGAATCCATCTGGTCCTGGACTCTTTTTGGTTGGTAAGCTATTGATTATTGCCACAATTTCAGATCCTGTTATTCGTCTATTCAGAGATTCAGCTTCTTCCTGGTTTAGTCTTGGGAGAGTGTATGTGTCGAGGAATTTATCCATTTCTTCTAGATTTTCTAGTTTATTTGCGTAGAGGTGTTTGTAGTATTCTCTGGTGGTAGTTTGTATTTCTGTGGGATCGGTGGTGATATCCCCTTTATCATTTTTTATTGCGTCTATTTGATTCTTCTCTCTTTTTTTTTTTATTAGTCTTGCTAGCGGTCTATCTATTTTGTTGATCCTTTCAAAAAATCAGCTCCTGGCTTCATTAATTTTTTGAAGGGTTTTTTGTGTCTCTATTTCCTTCAGTTCTGCTCTGATTTTAGTTATTTCTTGCCTTCTGCTAGCTTTTGAATGTGTTTGCTCTTGCTTTTCTAGTTCTTTTAATTGTGATGTTAGGGTGTCAATTTGGGATCTTTCCTGCTTTCTCTTGTGGGCATTTAGTGCTATAAATTTCCCTCTACATACTGCTTTGAATACATCCCAGAGATTCAGGTATGTTGTGTCTTTGTTCTCGTTGGTTTCAAAGAACATCTTTATTTCTGCCTTGATTTTGCAATAGATGCAGAAAAGACCTTTGACAAAATTCAACAACCCTTCATGCTAAAAAATCTCAATAAATTAGGTATTGATGGGACGTATTTCAAAATAATAAGAGCTATCTATGACAAACCCACAGCCAATATCATACTGAATGGGCAAAAACTGGAAGCATTCCCTTTGAAAACTGGCACAAGACAGGGATGCCCTCTCTCACCGCTCCTATTCAACATAGTGTTGGAAGTTCTGGCCAGGGCAATTAGGCAGGAGAAGGAAATAAAGGGTATTCAATTAGGAAAAGAGGAAGTCAAATTGTCCCTGTTTGCAGACGACATGATTGTATATCTAGAAAACCCCATTGTCTCAGCCCAAAATCTCCTTAAGCTGATAAGCAACTTCAGCAGTCTCAGGATACAAAATCAATGTACCAAAATCACAAGCATTCTTATACACCAACAACAGACAAAGAGAGAGCCAAATCATGAGTGAACTCCCATTCACAATTGCTTCAAAGAGAATAAAATACCTAGGAATCCAACTTACAAGGGATGTGAAGGACCTCTTCAAGGAGAACTACAAACCACTGCTCAAGGAAATAAAAGAGGATACAAACAAATGGAAGAACATTCCATGCTCGTGGGTAGGAAGAATCAATACCGTGAAAATGGCCATACTGCCCAAGGTAATTTACAGATTCAATGCCATCCCCATCAAGCTACCAATGCCTTTCTTCATAGAATTAGAAAAAACTACTTTAAAGTTCATATGGAACCAAAAAAGAGCCTGCATCACCAAGTCAATCCTAAGCCAAAAGAACAAAGCTGGAGGCATCACACTACCACACTTCAAACTATACTACAAGGCTACAGTAACCAAAACAGCATGGTAGTGGTACCAAAACAGAGATATAGACCAATGGAACAGAACAGAGCCCTCAGAAATAACGCCACATATCTACAACTATCTGATCTTTGACAAACCTGAGAAAAACAAGCAATGGGGAATGGATTCCCTATTTAATAAATGGTGCTGGGAAAACTGGCTAGCCATATGTAGAAAGCTGAAACTGGATCCCTTCCTTACATCTTATACAAAAATCAATTCAAGATGGATTAAAGACTTAAACGTTAGACCTAAAACCATAAAAACCCTAGAAGAAAACCTAGGCATTACCATTCAGGACATAGGCATGGGCAAGGACTTCATGTCTAAAACACCAAAAGCAATGGCAACAAAAGACAAAATTGACAAATGGGATCTAGTTAAACTAAAGAGCTTCTGCACAGCAAAAGAAACTACCATCAGAGTGAACAGGCAACCTACAGAATGGGAGAAAATTTTTGCAACCTACTCATCTGACAAAGGGCTAATATCCAGAATCTACAATGAACTCAGACAAATTTACAAGAAAAAAACAAACAACCCCGTCAAAAAGTGGGCGAAGGACATGAACAGACACTTCTCAAAAGAAGACATTTATGCAGCCAAAAAACACATGAAAAAATGCTCACCATCACTGGCCATCAGAGAAATGCAAGTCAAAACCACAATGAGATATCATCTCACACCAGTTAGAATGGCAATCATTAAAAAGTCAGGAAACAACAGGTGCTGGAGAGGATATGGAGAAATAGGAACACTTTTACACTGTTGGTGGGACTGTAAACTAGTTCAACCATTGTGGAAGTCAGTGTGGCGATTCCTCAGGGATCTAGAACTAGAAATACCATTTGACCCAGCCATCCCATTACTGGGTATATACCCAAAGGACTATAAATCATGCTGCTATAAAGACACATGCACACGTATGTTTATTGCGGCATTATTCACAATAGCAAAGACTTGGAACCAACCCAAATGTCCAACAATGATAGACTGGATTAAGAAAATGTGGCACATATACACCATGGAATACTATGCAGCCATAAAAAATGATGAGTTCATGTCCTTTGTAGGGACATGGATGAAATTGGAAATCATCATTCTCAGTAAACTATCGCAAGAACAAAAAACCAAACACTGCATATTCTCACTCATAGGTGGGAACTGAACAATGAGATCACATGGACACAGGAAGGGGAACATCACACTCTGGGGACTGTTGTGGGGTGGGGGGAGGGGGGAGGGATAGCATTGGGAGATATACCTAATGCTAGATGACGAGTTAGTGGGTGCAGCGCACCAGCATGGCACATGTATACATATGTAACTAACCTGCACAATGTGCACATGTACCCTAAAACTTAAAGTATAATAATAATAAAAAAAAAGAAAATTTAAAAAAAAAGATAGTATGTATTGGGGAAGTAATAGACAAATTGATAAGTAGAGCAGAATAGAGAGCAACACAAATATTGCCAACTTATCTATTTCAAAAAAACAAAGGCAATTTAATGGAGAAAGAATAATATTTTCAACAAATGGTGCTGGAACAACTTGATATCTATTTGCAAAAATATGAATCTAGACATAGCCTTACACATTGCACAAAAATTAATATAAAATAAATCTAAGTGCAAAACACAAAACTATAAAAATTTTAGAATACAGCATTGGAAAAAACCTAGATGACATTAGGTTTGTCAATGAGCTTTTAGATATAACACTAACAGTGTGATTAAAGAAAAAAAATTGATAAATTTGACTTTATTAAAATTCAAAAGTATAAATGATAGTTCTGAAAAACTTACCAGTATTGGCTCATTAATTGTAAGAAATGTACCAAATAAAAGCAAGATGTTAATTATAGGAAAATCTGTGTGTCTGGGATGGGTGTGGGGTAGATATACTAAACTTTATGTACTTTCTGCTAACTTGTTCTGTAAATATATAAGAATTGAAAAATAAATTTGATTTAAATAAAATAAAAATAAATTGTATGGAAAAATAAATTTTATTAAATATTTTTAAAATTTATTCATTTCATTTCCTCATGCAAAAGCAATATGTTAATTTTAGGACACTCACAAAAGAAACATAAGCAATAGAAGAAAATATTTATAAACACTTATAATCCTTATATGGAGAGGTAAGCATTGTTAATGTATTATATATGCATAGTTTTATTATTTTTTAATGATATTTTACAAAATGAATTCATAGGGTATATACTAATTTTTATTATCCTTTTAAATTTAATATCATTTTTATGATCATTTTATGGGTTGTTAAATATTTTTCCAAAACAGTATAATTTTAGACATTTATATTGTTTTTTTCCCATAATGAACAACATACTGAATGTCTATGTATCTAATACCTAATAATATTTTAAATTATTACCTTGAGTTAAGTAAGAAAATGCATATTACTAGAGGTATAATTACTATACGTAATAAAACATACAACTGTAATGATTTTAGCTTTATATTGATTAATTTCCTGCCAGTTAAACTAACTTCTATTTCATTAATAGTAAATGAGAAATCAGCCACATTCAACTCTAACCAACATGGAAATTTCCCATTTCTTTTGAAACCTCTCTTTGATTTAGGTATTATGATAAAATAAAACCCAGATAATTAAGTTATTAGGTAGCTTGGTCATGAGTCTTTCTACTACAGCTTTCAGGAAAACCTCTTCAATTAACTAGCTTTTGAATATGAAGCTCAGTATTTAAACATCAAAAGCATAATAGAAAAATTTACCCAGAGTGTTCCAGCACTCATCACACATTCTTACTCTCTGGAGGATCAACAATTCAGCACCTTTCTCTTTTCAATTTGCTTTCTCCTATTCTTTAACTTGACAATTTCTACTTTCCTTAAGAAATAACTTTCAGTATTGACCCAAACTGCCTAAGTGAATATGCATTATTTATGGGAAGTCTGATAACTAATATGCACTCCCCCTACCAATCTGATAGCAATATACAGTGCCCCACAGTGATGAAACTCATTAGAAAATGCAGAGAAATTGGTATTAAAATTGAGTAGTCTAATAAAAATTTACATTGGATTAAATAATAAAAATGAAAATTATATTAAGAAACTAAACCTTAGTCTAAGCTTTTCAGTAGGATTGATAAATTAGAATGAAAATAGGAAAGAAGCGACAAGAAAAACATGTTAGATCCTCTTTGTGCTGGCAGTTTCTTTTTCAATTTTTATTTATTTTCTTTTTTTTTTCTTTTTCTTTTTTTTTTTTTTTTTACTTGAGACGGGGTCTTGCTCTGTAGCCAGGCTGGAGTGCAGTGGCGCGATCTCGGCTCACTGCAACCTCTGCCTCCCAGGTTCAAGCGATTCTCCTGCCTCAGCCTCCTGAATAGCTGGGACTACAGGCGCCCGCCACCACGCCCGGCTAATTTTTGTATTTTTAGTAGAGACGGGGTTTCACCATGTTGGCCAGGATGGTCTCGATCTCTTGACCTCGTGATCGCGCGCCTCGGCCTCCCAAAGTGCTGGAATTACAGGCATGAGCCACTGCGCCCAGCCCAGTTTCTTTTTTTAAACTTTTACTTTAAGTTCAGGGGTACGTGTGTAGGTTTCCTTTGTAGGTACACTCAAGTCACAGTGGTTGCACAGATTATTTCTTCACCCAGGTATTAAGCCTAGTACCCCTTAGTAATTTTTCCTGCTCCTCTCCCTCTTCACAACCTCTACCCTCAGGTCAGCCCCAATGTCTGTTGTTGCCCTCTATGTGTCCATGTGTTCTCATCATTTGGCTCCCAGTTAAAAGTGACAACAAGTGGTATTTGGCTATTTGGTTTTCTGTTCCTGTGTTAGTTTGTTAGGGATAATGGCCTCTACCTCCATCCATCTTCCTGCAAAGGGCACGATGTTGCTTTTTTTTTATGGCTGCATTCTACTGGAAGTCTTGCTTTAAAAATACTCTATTGAATACATTTGCACATGCATATACACACACACACATATCCTCGAAATCCCAAATAATTGTTTCTATCAATTTTGTATCCATTGTTTAACAAAAAAATTTATATCTTTCCTTGATCAAGTTTTAAGTCTTAGATAACTACATGATAATGGTTTTAGATCAAGATGGCTTAAGGATTTACATAAATCCATAATCATTTATTCTCCCATTATTTAATAAAATCTTATTTTTTGAATTGATTTCTTTTTCCTCAGTTACCCTTTTTTTTGTGACTGTATGTTCAGTCTCTAGTTTTAAGAATGTATTCTATGAATTCTATTATCAATGAAATCGCTAAGATGCCATGGATGATTGACTCAGAGCATCACTGCTATCAGACAACATGACTCTAATTACATTCCTTATTGAGAGTTCATTCAAAAGACTGCACCATGTCTTTTATCATACAGAACCTTGCAATATTTACAGATATTTTGGTGGATAAAGGAGAGGAAGTTTAATTCAGAAAGATCGTTAAATAGATAAATACCCCCACTTCTCTGCTTGTGTTTCTAAGGTTTTTTAATTATTTATATTAAAACTAGAATGTGCATTGCAGCTTCCATGGTTTCTTGGATATTTACATGTGGCTATAGCATTCTTTCTGCCCCAAAAGAACTCTTTCTCGGCCTCCATTTATTGATAGACATTTAGGAAAATGATAACTGGGCAACTCATAATCCTTTATAGAACTAGGTAACCAGCACAATAAGCTCGAATAGTCTTAGATGTTTGAAGCTTCTTGTGCTTGGAGAAAAAATGATCAAATGGAGGATCTATTATGGCAGACAGGAGGCAGGACTAGATTGCAGCTCCGGACAGAGCGGTGTGCAGAGGCTCCCGTTGTGAATTTTAGCTCCCGATCGACTGCAGGAACAAACCGGCAATCCTGGGAGGACCCACAGACCCTTTGAGGGAAGTGGGCTGCTCCTGCAGGACCCAGGGGACACCCCAAATACTGTGAATGCCCCAACTGTGGAAGTGAGAAAGAGAGAGACCCTCCTCTCCCGAGAAACACACACCCCCACTGGAGAAACTGAAGGGCTGTTTGTGGGAGAAATTTCCAACCTTACCTGGAGCTGAGTCAATGTAGAGAAGCAAGCAAAATATACGGGTAGAGGAAGCAGCAGAAAGGTCCTGGGAGCTCGCTGGGTCCTTAAGCAGGTCATTCCTGCCTGGCACCACAGGGATCCATCAGGAGGGTGGCCAGAGGAGCAGAAGGTAAAACTCCACAGGAAGAAGGAACCCTCTAGCTGAACTTTGTAACAATTTGCAGGGGCGAGAAGCCTCCAGGCCAGAACTCAGGGGAAGATGCAAATCCGGTGTGCAGACTCCTCAGTGGGGGAACAACCACGCCCTTTTCTTGCCCAGCTGGGAGGCGGATAGCCTGGGGCAAATTTTCAAACCCCTCTCGCCCACCACCTGGAAACAGACTCAGGGCTGTTGTGGGGGGCACGGTAGGAGTGAGACCGGGCCCTTCAGTTTGTGTGAGTGCTGAGTGAGTCCTGTAACTGCTGGCTTTCTTCCACTTCCCTGACAACCAGCATGAGTCAGCAGAGGCACCCATAATCAGTAGGTATACAACTTTAGTGACCTGAGAGTCTCATCCCTATTCCCCACAGCAGCCGCAGCAAGACCAGCCCAAGGAGAACCTGAGCTCAGACATGCGTAACCCTGCCCCAATCTGATGGTCCTTCTCTACCCTCCCTGGTAGTGGAAGACAAAGGGCATATAATCTTGGGAGTTCTAGGGCTCTGCCCATGGCTCATCCCTCTCCATACTACTACAGCTGAGGGTCTCTGGAAAGTGCCACCTCCTGGCAGGAGGCCAATAAGCACAAAAATAGAGCATTAAACCACCAAAGCTAAGAGCCCTCACGCAGTCCATTGCCACCCCGCCACCCCCCGCCCCCACAACCATCTCCACCAGAACAAGTGCTGGTATCCACAGCTGAGAGACCCATAGATGGTTCACATCACAGGACTCTGTGCAGACAATCCCCAGCACCAGCCCACAGCCGGGTAGACTCGCTGGGTGGCTAGACCCAGAAGAGAGACAACAATCACTGCAGTTCAGCTCACAGGCAGCCACATCCCTAGGAAAAGGGGGAGAATACTACATCAAGGGAACACCCCATGGGACAAAAGTATCTGAACAACAGCCTTCAGCCCTAGACCTTCCCTCTGACAGGGCCTACCCAAATGAGAAGGAACCAGAAAAACAACCCTGGTAATATGACAAAACAAGACTCTTTAACACCCCCCAAAAAAATCACACTAGTTCACCAGCAATGGAGCCAAACCAAGAAGAAATCCTTGATTTACCTGAGAAAGAATTCAGGAGGTTAGTTATTAAGCTAATCAGAGAGGCACCAGAGAAAGGCAAAGCCCAATGCAAGGAATCCAAAAAACGATGCAAGAAGTGAAGGTAGAAATATTCAAGGAAATAGATAGCTTAAAGAAAAAAAAATAAAAAATTCAGGAAACTTTTGACACACTTTTAGAAATGCAAAATGCTCTGAAAAGTCTCAGTAATAGAATTGAACAAGTAGAAGAAAGAAATTCTACACACCAACACCGACCAAGCAGAGAATCAAATCAAGAACTCAACCCCTGCCAGGCGTGGTGGCTCACGCCTGTAATCCCAGCACTTTGGGAGGCCCAGGCAGGCAGATCATGAGGTCAGGAGATAGAGACCATCCTGGCTAACACGGTGAAACCCCATTTCTACTAAAAATACAAAACATGAGCCAGGTGTGGTGGCGGGTGCCTGTAGTCCCAGCTACTCGGGAGGCCGAGGCAGGAGAATGGCGTGAACCTGGGAGGCGGAGCTTGCAGTGAGCCGAGATCGCTCCACTGTACTCCAGACTGGGCTACAGAGGGAGACTCCATCTCAAAAAAAAAAAAAAAAAAAAAGAACTCAACCCCTTTTACAATAGCTGCCAAAAAAACAAAAAACAAAAAACAAAAAACAACTTAGGAGTATACCTAACCAAGGAGTTGAAAGACCTCTACAAGGAAAACTACCAAACACTGCTGAAAGAAATCATAGACAACACAAACAAATGGAAACACATCCTATGCTCATGAATGGGTAGAATCAATATTGTGAAAATGACCATACTGCCAAAAGCAATCTACAAATTCAATGCAATCCCTATCAAAATACCACCATCATTCTTCAGAATATTAGAAAAAACAATTCTAAAATTTATATGGAACCAAAAAGAGCCTACATAGCCAAAGAAAGACAAAGCAAAAGAACAAATCTGGAAGCATCACACTACCTGATTTCAAACTATACTATAAGGTCATAGTCACCAAAACAGGGTGATACTGGTATAAAAATAGGCACATAGACCAATGAAACAGAATAGAGAATGCAGAAATAAACCCAAATACTTACAGCCAACTGATCTTCAACAAGCAAACAAAAACATAAAGTGGGGAAAGGACACCCTTTTCGACAAATGGTGATGGAATAATTGGCTAACCATATGTAGGAGAATGAAACTGGATCCTCATCTCTCACCTTATACAAAACTCAACTCAAGATGGATGAAGGACTTAAGGCCTGAAATTATAAAAATTCTAGAAGATAACATTGGAGAAACCCTTCTAGACATTGGCTTAGGCAAGGCTTTCATGACCAAGAATCCAAAAGCAAATGCAATAAAAACAAAGATAGATAGCTGGGACCTATTAAACTAAAGAGCAATTGCACAGCAAAAGGAACAGTCAGTGGAGTAAACAACCTACAGAGTGGGAGAAAATCTTCACAATCTGTACATCTGACAAAAAGCTAATACCCAGAATCTACAATGAACTCAAACTAATCAGTAAGAAAAAAACAAACAACGTTATCAAAAAGTGGGCTGAGGACATAAATAGACAATTCTCAAAAGAAGATATACAAATGGCCAACAAACATATGAAAAAATGCTAAACGTCACTAATGATCAGGGAAATGCAAATCTAAACCACAATGAGACACCACCTTACTCCTACAAGAATGGCCATAATCAAAAAATAAAAACAGTGATGTTGGCGTGGATGCATTGATCAGGGAACACTTCTACACTGCTGGTGGGAATGTAAACTAATACAGCCACCATGGAAAACAGTGTGGAGAATCCTTAAAGAACTGAAAGTAGGACTACCATTTGATCCAGCAATCCCACTACTGGGTATCTACCCAGAGGAAAATAAGTCGTTATTTGAAAAAGATAACTTGCACATGCATGTTTATAGCAGCACAATTCACAATTGCAAAATTGTGCAACCAACCCAAATGCCCATCAATCAAAGAGTGAATAAAGAAACTGTGGTATGGCTGGGCATGGTGGCTCACACCTGTAATCTCAGCACTTTGGGAGGCCAAGACAGGCAGATCACCTGAGGTCAGGAGTTCAAGACCAGCCTGGCCAACATGGTGAAACCCTGTCTCTACTAAAAATACAAAAATTAGCCAGGTGTGGTGGTGGACACCTGTGATTCCAGCTACTCGGGAGGCTGAGGCAGGAGAATCACTTGAACTTGGGGGGCAGAGGTTGCAGTGAGCCGAGATCACACCACTTCACTCTAGCCTGGGCAAAAGAGTGAGACTCTGCCTCAAAAAATTAAAAAAATAAATAGTAACAAAAAAACAACAACTGTGGTATATATATATGATGGAATACTACTCGGCCATAAAAAGGAATGAATTAACACCATTTGCAGTAACTAGATGAGATTGGAGACTATTATTCTAAGTGAAGTAACTCAGGAATGGGATACCAAACATGGTGTGTTCTCACTGATATGTGGGAGCTAAGCTATGAGGTCGCAAAGGTATAAGAATGATACAATGGACTTTGGGGACTTGGCGGGAGGAGTGGGGGGTAAAAGACAACAAATATAGTGCAGTATATACTGTTCGGATAATGGGTGTACCAAACTCTCACAAATCACCACTAAAGAACTTACTCATGTAACTAAATACCACCTGTACCCCAATAACTTATGGGAAAAAAAGATCGGTGTCCTACTTCTGGTATAACAAAGTAATTTCAAACAGGACCTAATCCTTATGCATATGAGAACCACCAACAGGTCAATTAAAAAAAACCACAGTGACAGTAAGTGAGCAACAGCAGACAGGTTTTGGGAGGAGTAAAAACTTGGAAGAAAGGATAGCTTGTATGATTTTCTATTTGTTAAGTGTTTAGTCAAAGTGAGCTGCACACAAAGCAGCTAAAACTTTGAAAACATGATTGTGAGTCCTGATGAGCAAGAGAACTGAGTTTGAGACAATTAATAGATGCTTGAAAGTAGAGGGGATCAAGTAGAGGTGAGGCTAGAAAAAAAATAAAAACCAAATTTTTTTGTATAAACTCTGCCCGAATCTGTTTCACTTCTCTTTGCTACACTTTCACACCTGCTCATGACAGACTCCAGCAAAGGATAAACAGACTAGACTAAACTGAGATTTGAGATAAAGAATTTTCAGTTGAATTTCTACAAGTTAAATGCCTGCTAAAACAATAAAAAGAACAACAAAATTAAAAATTTTACAAATGAAAAAAGCAAAGTCCTAAGACTCTATGACTTAACAATACTCAAAATACAATCTAAAATCATTCTACACATGAAAAACCAAAAATATTTGACCCATTTGGAATAGAAAAGACAATCCTGAGATAATTGATATTACAATGAGCAGACAAATATTTTTAACAGCAATTATACACTATTCAAGAATGTAAGAGAAATTATGCTTACAATGAATAAAACAAAAGGAACTATCAGCAAGGAAGCAGCAACTATTAAAAAAGAAACCGAATAGATATTATATAAGTACAACATAAAATATCTGAGATTTTGTAAAAAGTGAACTCTTAACGAATAATGCAGATGACAGAAAATAAACCTAATCAATCAAGTGATAAAAATTAAATAAAAAAGAATAGATCTTCAAGAACATATGGAACTATATAAAAAGATCTAACATTCATGTAATAACAGTCCCAGAAGAAGACAAGAGTAAGAATGGGGTGGGAAATATATTTAAGAAAACAATGTTCAACATTTTTCCAATTTGGTGAAACATGTAAAGATTCATAATATTTTGCAAATATCAAGCAGAATAACTGCAAAGAAAACCATGCCTACGGCACATTAGGTGAAACTACAAATGCCAAAGATAGAAAAAATCTTGAAAGCAGACAAAAAACACCCCAGCATATTATCTACAGAGGAAGAGTCATTTGAATTAACACTGATTTCTCATGAGAAAATCTGCAGCGAAGAAAGCAGTGAACCAATATCTTGAAAGCAAAAATGAAAAACAAACCCAACTCTGAATTCTATAACCAGCAAAATTACCTTTTAAGAATGAAGATGAAATAATGCCACTTTCTAAAAAAAGAAGAAAAAGTAAGATAATTTATTTCCAACAGACTAGTACTATTTTTGTTCCCTTTAATAAAAAAAGTACGATGATTTAAAACAAATATTATTACATTGTCTCTTGCGGGGGGTTACAATTTTAAGTGTTTGTGATATATATAACAACTTAATACGAAAGATAGAAGTTTTCTACACATAATGTGAGATGGTACAGTATTAACACTAAATACACATAAAAATTAAGAACATATATTATAATCCCTACAACCACCACTAAAAATTAATGTAAATGGGGAAGTCGAAAAAGCCTATTGTAACATTAAAACAGAATACTAATAATACCAAATTAATCAAGTAGAATATAGGAAAGAAAGAACTAAAAAATAGAAACAAGTAACAGAAAACGAAAAGCAAAAGGGAAGAACTAAATCACAGCTACATCAATAATCATATTAAATGTTAACGGACTAAGCACTCCAATTAAAAGTCAGTGACTATCAGAAAGGATTAAAAAAACATGAAAGACTTGACTATCTGTTATCTCTAATTGATTCCCTTTAAATACAAAGACAGAGATAAGTTGAAAACAAATCAATGGAAAAAGGTTTGTCATGCTTACAGCAAGCCTAAGAAGGCTGAGATGGCTATGTTAATATCAGGCAACCTATTCTTTGAGAGAAAAATATTTCCAAAGGTAATGAGTGATATTTCATAATGATAAAATGTTCAATTTATCAGGAATAAATACAATTATATAGCTTCATGTGCCTAATACCGGAACTTTAAAACATATGAAACAGAAACTGACAGTATTTCACAATCACAGTTGGAAATTTTAACATCACTCTTGTCAATTGATAGAATGCCTAGACCAAGAAACAAACAAAAAAAATCAATAGCTAGATTGCTTCAATAATAGTGTCAATTGCCTTGACCTAATTGATATTATAGAACACTGCATTCACCAAACAGAAAAAATATATGATTTTCTTGAGCATATGGCATGTTCACCAAGAGAGACCCTATGTGGAAATATAAAGGAAGTCCTAATAAATTGAAAATAAATAATATAGAGTATACTCTCTGGTGAGAAGGGATTAAAACCACACAATTCTCTGGATAACTAAAAATATTTTCTAATCAAACACTACACTTCTATATGACCCATGGGTCAAAGAAAAAAATCACAAATAAATTTGAAAATTATTTCAAACTGAATTGTAATAGTGATTCAGCACATCAAAATTTGTGGGATACAGCTTAGTCTGTGATAAATGGGAAACTACAGCTTTAAATGCTTATACTTGAGATGAAATAATGATCACTCTGTGTCAGAGATAAAGGAGAACTCTAACAGAATGAGGTGAATTTTAAGTTCCCTAATGCCATAACAGATTATGTGATGTTTTTGGGAAAATGGTTCCTACTTAAACTTAGACTTTTTATTTTTTAAGTATTTTGTCTCAGACTAAAAAAGTCCCAATATTTAGCTAACTAGACAAATTTGGATTGAGTGCACCTGTTTTTTTCATTTTTTTCTTCCTTCTCTATCCCTCATCACTTGATTTTGGGTCCTTGATTAGCAGTACCTGAATATAGGAGGCTAAATTAATCTTTAGTCGCTTTCAGTGTTCTTCTTGTTCTAGTATCTATACCAGTACTGACATAAATACATCACTTTCATAGAATTTTCTGAAGATTAAATTGTAACAGCTCTGAAGGATTGCGGTGAGCTATTCCTACAGCCATTTCTTACCAAAGCCAAATTTCATCTGAAGGAGTAACTGTGAAAATGTGTATCTGGTTCACAGATACCCTTCAAGTGAAGCTAAAAGTCACGTTCAGGGCTTTTATATTTTAAGGTGGTTTTCCAACCTTAGTCTTTTAAACTACTCATTTGAATGCCTGGGTTTAGGTAATTCAGAATGAGAAAGAGATTATGTATGATCCTCATATCAATGTTGATGTCTGAGAGTAGGGACCCACCCTGGACCTGACCAAAGAAGCATCATTTTAGCATTACAGCCACCAGACAAACTCCTAGAGGTGAAAAAAATTAGGTTGGCATTTTTTACAAGCAAGGCATTGCAAGGCATTACATTAGCGGTCAATAAGCTGTACTTCTTTCCATTATCTTACTTGGTAAAGAAACACAGTGTATGGCATACATGTAATTTAATTTTAGTGGCCGTTACTTAATAGACACATTTAATTTCTAAAAATGTCACTGGTGTTTTGGAGTTTGTGGGAAAACCTGCCCCATCTTACGTGTGTGCTAAATTTTATCACATGTAAATTATGGTGTTGAGGTATTAAGATATTATTATTCTGTGACCTATTACGGGAAGTCTTTCAAGAGATCATTGTCCTATCTGTTGGAGGGAAAGAGACAAAACCACGGGATTTTTAGGGCTACGTATTAATCGCCACCATTTTATAAAATAGTGCTAATACCATGTCTCTCTCATAATGGCAAGTTGATTGGGCATATCAGCAAAACAATTGTTGTTTAAAAATAATATTTGATTGAGGTAAAAAAAATCTAGGAAGACAATATTCTAGACAGCAGAAAACAAGATGAAGTCTGGACCCCATCACCAAAATTCAAATAAGGGTATAAAATAAATCTGCACCTCCTTCTCTGGCAATAGATTTGCCGTGGTCATATCAGAGCTTGACTAATTTTAGTATCCTTTCTCTCTGTTTTCATTTTTCCATTTTTTCCCCTGGATGTGAAGGGATTAGTAACTGTGGAAATCATTACAAGAAAAGGGGGCAACAAGTGAAGCAAAATCTCCAGGAGAGTAAATCAGAAACTGTCTCTAGAATTGATCCTTCTGAGTTGGATATTTTATTCTTGAATGTTTATTTTCTCAAATAATATAGGTAGATAGTTTTGGAAAATCTATTACTGGATACTATTTTCATAAGAGAGCACTTATTTTTATATTGTATATTTATTTTATTATTATTTTACTTATTCTAAGAAATTAACATAAAATGCAATTTTTAATGTACTCATTTTTATTAATTAGTTTATTTATTCTAAAAATCGGATAACTGGGGTGAAGAGAGTGGAACATAGTTAACACTTCCTTTAATATTAAGCTTACTTTATACATGTTCTAAGGGTTATACATGTATTAATCATCACACACACACACACACACACACAACCTGTAATATTTTAAAGTAGATAATATTAGCCAACTAAATTTACAGATAAGGAATCAGGTTCAAAGATATTTGAAAATGACTTGTCCAAGAATAGATGAATAGTAGATGGCAGAGGTGGAATTTGCTCTTGGGCAATTTAGCTCAGAGCCTGTATTCTCAACCACTATGTTATATTAAGGGAATGTCCTTCTTGAATTAAGTATTGACATCGTGTGAAAAGCCTGACAGTGATATCCAACTCTTGGTCTCAATAAAGCGGACTTCAAATTCCTCTGTTCAGAAGATCTCTGTTAACAAGTTGTGAGTCTTATGATGAATTCCATCTCTACATTGATTTTTGCTCCCCAAAAGAAAGGAGTGATTTGAGTAAATGATCATTAGATATTTGAGTGCATAAAATTCCATGATTCTAAAAACAATTATCAATATAACATCATCTAGATTTTCTTTTGATTATTATTTAAATATTTCACATTTCTGGCTTTGCATTCATAGACAGGAAGAGTAAACAATAATAATACATTTAGACTTTTCTTCTTGTGATGATCTCGCAAAAATTTTCTGAGAAAGGAAACAGAAAATATTAACAAAAAAATGGTTGAATTATTGTGGTTAATTTATTCATTTGATCCTATATTTGCAAATAATAAAAGTTTCAATATATAAAATAATATGCTAATAGAAATAGATATATTCACAAAAAGCATTTATCACAATGACATTGAACAATATGCATTATTTTATTTATGACCAGTGTGAATTTTTAGTGATTTCACACTGACTCTTATCGTGAATGGGGAGAAAAATGTAGTAGAAGCAAAAGAAGGTGAATTACAGAAGCACATATATTTAAATGCCAAAGCCCGTTACAAAGTTATTTCCCAAAGTAAAAATCTGTAACATTTTCACATTGTATGCAGTTTTAAATTATCTTTGTTTTAATATGAAATAGTGAATTATTTTGACATACATGTTTTGGTAAATCCAGTTGCCTTTGATATTTCAGTTTGCAAGATTTCACTAAGGAATATTTGACCTTATGCTGTTTTATGTTCCTAAATATATCTATACATGTTGAATCATGGTGAACCATATAATTTGACAAGCTACAGTTTGTTTCCTTTTTTCTGTCACAAATTTCTCCAAAATCTTGTTAACCATAGAAAATCTTTGCTTTTTTGTACATAAATCTCCTAGTTGCTCCTATGCTTTCGAGAAACTTCTCTTGATACATAGCATTCAAAAGCATGTGGCAAAGGAAGTGATAGGCAAATATTATTTTTATGCTTTTTTTTAGCAGACAATTGCCTGCTAAGGGGAAAATGATCCGGATTAATAAAGAAATTTCTAAAAACATTCCAATAGTCAACTTACAGGAATTTCAATTGAAGCGATTGAAATGCTCAACATACCAAAACATGTTTTGCTTTTTTTTTTTTCCCAGGATTGTCCTGATACTATTTGTTCTGTCATAGAGTGGGATTTACCTGCTACTTTTGCCGTTGTTATCAGTATCCAAGCATTTTCCTCCCATTTCCTCTCTGGGCAGTTCTCTGGCCCAGCTCAATTAAAGGACAAATCCATTGCAGTCTGTAGCCTAGGAATTATAATGAAGTCAGCTGTCAAACTCTTATCTCACAGCTGCCCCTCTGTGGGTAATCTGATGGCCACTTGTCAGCTGTTTCACCCAAACAAGCACAGACAAAGGGCCTCTGATGGCCTCCTTTATTCTCATCAATCTACATTGAGGCAGATGTTGAAATCCCAACAGGAAAAGGTATAATTTGATTTAGCATTCAGAACTGCCTCCTCCTATTGATACATCAGATCTTTGTGAACTCGATATTCTTTTGTAACCATGAGGCAAATGACTTACTGTTTATTTATTTACCTCATTCTACCATTGAAAATAATGCTTTAGAATGATGTCTGGGGATACAGAATATTGCTCTGTGGAATATACCACAATACAATAAATTACTGGATCTCTCAAGGTGGAAGGAATCCAGGTGACTTTGATTTTTAGAAGAGATTTCTATAATTTTCTAAATACTCTAAAGTGAGCCAAAAGAATCAAAGAGCTGTGCATTCATTCTTTTATTTTTTTTCTATCAACAAGGATGGATATTAGAAAAAAATTAGATTTTTTCCTAGAATAATTAGGCAGAAGATCAAAGTGCAAGATTTGATTGAGAGAAATGAAGATAACTGATATTAATTATACTCTTAAGTTTTTCATTCTCCAACCAAAAGATTATAGAAGTTAGCTGTTTTCTTAATGCAGCACTTTCTTTTTTCTAAGAATAACTTAAATCAATATACATCCTATTAAATGTACTCAAAACTGTCGAAAATATGCGATTTTGATGACAAGATTACTATCACTCTCTGACTACAGCAGTTATATTTCCTACCTTCTTGAATAAGACAAATAAACTGAAAACTATCTAGCTTCCAACAAGTTTGTCTTCTGATTACTGAAGACCTACAATTCCCATCCCTAATACCTGCCTCTAAGTAATAAATGTGTCTTGATGATATTCAAATATAAAGTTCATAAAAGTGTTTATTGAAGACATGATTATAAAAATGGTTTGGGGAGCCAGCCCACTTATCTTAATATCTGCTTGAAAAAAGGGAACGGAAATATTCATGATTGCATATTTGGGGTTCTTTTACACTGAGAACTAGTGTCTTCCGCAACCCAGGTTCTGTTATTTATTAATGAAATCACTTTCACCTCAGGCATTGTTCTTTACATTAATTTTGACTCTAGCTGTCAGAATGTAAACTTTATTCTTTTTAGGTCTTTTAAAAGTCAACATAATATTAAAAATTATGAAGTAAAAAAGCAGGATATATTTTTCTTGCATATCAAATTAATGAAAGTCATTTTTCAGTAGCTTGGAGTACCAACTTTGCAGTGGTTTTGATAATTATTTAAAATGCCCATGTTTCTAAGAAGAGAGTAATATTGTAGATTGAAGTTCCATTCCAAGTATGTTAATTGCTGATATTGAAAGAAACACAGAGAGACAATATATGATTGTAAGAACATAAGGCCAAATCTTTGGTGGCAAAACATTCAATGACATTTAATAAGAAAACTCACTTTGATGCCAGTACTAGAAAAAATGAGTTATAGAAATCATGGTGTTTTTAAGAATTTATATTTCAATATTACAGTGATGTTTCCTTATGAAAACGATTTCAATAAATGCTTTCCTATGTTTGAAGATCAAGATGGGATGTGTGTATGTGTGTGCCTATGCACCCACGCGCTTTAAGGATGACAAGAGTTTGCTGTACAAAGAGAAGATGAGGACATAATCATTCTGCCATTCCTGGTAAAATCAATATCTGCCTATCTTTTGTCTGGCCTGTGAGCACAGCCCTGAAGTTGATTTGTTCTAAGAGAAGAGTAGGCTATCATAAAGATAAGAATGAAAGCTTATACCTGCTTAGGGTTTGTGTGTGAACATGGTGGCAGGATGCAGGAAGGTGGACTGGCCCTTTAATTTCTGTGTATTGTCCTAATCTTCAAACAAACAAAGGAGATCCTTAGAATCCAAGATAGCTGCTAGAAAAGAAGTTTAACAATGACTTCTTTTTGGAAGAATTGCTTATTTTAAAAATATTCAGATAGCTCAATTTTCTTCTATATGAATGGTTTCCAAAGTTAGTTTGGGGGCCACTGGAAATCACCTTTTAGGTTGTATGTGACGTCAAAACTATTGTCATAATAATACTAAAATGCTATTTGCCTTTTTCATTCTATTTTCCCATGAGTATAAGTGGAGTTTTCCAACAATGAATGAAATGTGCATTGGAGCATAGTGTTTATAAATTCTTTTGATATTATTTCTAATATAATAAATATCAATGGATATAACCCATATAAGCAAAAGCTCTTTGGGATGCTCAGTAATTCCAAAGAGTGTTGCGATGGACTGAATTTTGTCATGCCCCCCACCCCAAATCCATATGTTGAAGCCCTAAGTCCTAATGTGACTATATTTGGAGATAGAATGTTTAGGAAGTAATTAAGGTTAAATGAGGTCATAAGAGTAAGGTCCTAATCTGTTGGAACTGGTGACCTTATAAGAAGAGAAGATCTCTTTCTCTCTCTCTCTCTGTCTTTTCGCAAACACAGGGGAAAGACCTCATGAGGACACAGTAAAAATGTGGCCATCTAGGAGCCAGGAAGAGAGCCCTCACCAGAACTTGACCATGCTGGCTCCTTGATCTCAGACTTCCCACCTCCAGAACAGTGAGAAAATAAATTTCTGTTGTTTAGGCCACCACATTTTGTTGTCATCTGTCTGAAGCACGAGGAGATTATGACAATTTAAATGGGTCGTGAAAATTCTAAGAACCACTGATCTATATCAATAAAATGATGATACTGGAGTCCCCTCTAGGCTCAAAGAAGAAAACCAAAATCCATGAGCACATGGGCTGCAAATATGATTTTGAACAAAATAGATAACACATTGTGCTGAAAAATGCTTTAAAATGCTACAGTGTTTACCATAATAATGAGCTATGAGATAAATCTGTTGATACTTCTCCACTTACTCCAAAATTCTTAGCTCTGCATTCAAAGCCCTATTCTTGGGGCCTCAATCTACTCAGTCAAGAGTATCTCCTACTACCCTCTTCTTTAAACCGCTTCATTAGAAAGGAAACCTCAAATTTCCTTGGATATGCATTGCTTAATCTAGTCTCTGCCACTGTGTTCGTGAAATATTCTCACGATATGTTTCGGGTGGTTTCTTTCAACTTAAATAACTTTCACCACTACCATCTTATGATGTGCATTATCACAAACTGTCTTCTGAGGAATTCAGCAGCCACAGCACTACGTATGTATGTACGATGTATGTACACATGTATGTATGGTTAGTACTACAAATCTAAAACATAGTCCTGCATTTTTAAAGAGGCTCATATAAGTACCATTTTGGGACCAAAAAAATCTGAGAAAATTAATCTTTTTCTACAATGCACTATGTATTACATACATGTTTTAAAGTACCACTCTTCATAATGTAAAACATGTTCCATCAAAAAGTACACTCATGTAATTGGGAAAAATTTTCTTAACACGTGCTTTTCTCTTTTGCATCTGTATTCTCAACGTTCTCTACAGTAAAGCCTGTGCCATCCATTTACTTGTGGTGGTGAGTGTAGGGCTATGCAAAATAATTTTTTTTTTTTTTTAGACGGAGTCTTACTCTGTTGCCCAGGCCGGAGCGCAATGGCGCAATCTCCGCTCACTGCAACCTCTGCATCCCGGGTTCAAGTAATTCTCCAGCCTCAGTCTCCTGAGTAGCTGGGATTACAGACACCTGCCACCACGCCCAGCTAATTTTTGTATTTTCAGTAGAGGTGGGGTTTCACCATGTTGGTCAGGCTGGTCTCGAACTCCTGACCTCAGGTAATCCACCTGCCTTGGCCTCTCATAGTGCTGGGATTACAGACGTGAGCCACCGCACCCAGCTGTAGAATAAAATTTTTAAATGTGAAGCAAAATTATAGAGTTTAACTCTAGAAGTATTTTTTAAGATCAGAAAAGATTTTTCACACTGCTATATCATCTCCTGTAAAACAGAATAAGCTCAAAAGTTTATGTTACATAATTTAGGTACTTCAATGCTTTAGTTTTCAATATATTATTGAGTTTACTTGGAGATTCAGTAAAGAAGGCCTGGCCATGGTTTACCATAATGGTAAATCTGTTATTGATGAACACATTCACTCATTTTAAACAACACTAAGTTAAATGATGCAGAATTATGGCTTACTAAAAAAGAGATTGTCAATCACATTTTGATTGTAATGGTTAATGAATTAATAAATCTTTAATTTTAAGGGATTAGTGACTTTGCCAAGGTTCTGAAGACATCAGAGAATATACAGTACGAGACTCTATTCCCTGAGTCCAGGGTGCAAGCTCATTAGTGTGAATTTGCAGAGAAATAAATTTTTCGGTTTGAGACTCAGTTTGGTAACAAGTATTAGAAACTGCACTCATGAACACAATCTTCTACGTTACCAGAGAGTTTAAGAGTATAAATAACATTGTGCAGATTAATTAGAGCTTGGAGTGATTTCTTTGGTGGTCCTTTGTCCATTCCTTGATTTTGCTTATTCTTACCTGTATTGTTGTTATACAAATAGGCCTACCCCATTTGATGAGAAAGATGACTGCTGACAGACCCAAGCTGTGTCCTCCCATACGGTCCTCATTTTTTATGCTCTTCTGCAGTGTCATTTTGGCAATCCCCCATTAAGAGACAGAATCTAATCTCCCCTTCCCCCTAACTACCCTAGCTACGGCCACCAACTGAATCTGGGCTGGCCTTAGTGACTAACTTGCAATTAAGAGAATATAAGGGAAATGACATTGTGTGACTTCCAAGGCTCTGCCAGAAAAGCCTTGCAGCTTCAGTCTGGGTCTCTTGTAACACTTCCTCTCCGGACCATCCCTCTCAGATCACTGCTTTCTGGGACTAAGCCACCTTGCTATGAGGAGCCCAGGACACAGGGAGAGTCTATATGTAGGTATTCTGGTCAATGGTCCCAATTGTACTCAGCCTTCAAGTCATCCCAGCCCAGGTACCAGACATATAAATAAGTGATGACACCTCCAGATGACTCTGGCTTCTACCCAGACAGCAATTCAAGTCTTCCAAGGGAATGACTCAGACATTGTGGAACAGAAAGACAGGTTATCCTGCTCTGCCCCAGTAGAATTCTTAAACCACATAAGACTTGATCATAAGAAAATGGTTGCTTTTTAAAGCCACAAAGTTTGGGATGATTGGTTATGCAGTGGTAGATAATCAGAACACTAGTAAAGTACACTTACTTCCAACTGTCAAATTGCAATACCAGGGAAGAGTGATTTGCCTCATGTGTACCCAAAACACAAAGGGTAGGCTAGGGTGAGATGGTTATCTTGTGTCACATTCCCATCCTTGTGCCATGAGTGAGGCGTTATGACTGACAGACTCACCAGACCATACAGAATGAAATAAAAGTTTCCCCAAAATACCAGCAGAAAGAAAAGAACATAAGCTGGAGAGAAAGAATACATATTGTTTACATCCCAGATAGCAACAGGATCTGGTCACAGATAGCTTCACTCAATTAGTTCTTTTGCAATAATGAGTCAGCAGCTTAGAAAAGATGCCCAACATAACTGGTCAAGCCTTGCCACAAAAACTGGCTGTTGGTTTCTTTTCATCTTCTTATAAGCATTGACAGAAGAAGCCTTATCCTTGATGCTCCCAAGAAAGCCCTGTTAGAACTTCTAAATTTTTAAAATTCTGAGAAACAACTTTAAAAACCCTTCACTTTACCTATTCATCATAGATTTTTCACTCTGTTGCCTAATGTGTATTGCAGACATCTCAGAGACACATAGGCTTATAATAGAAATTAAAAGATAATTTTCACTTAATCATGATTATTCAGGATGCATACAGAGAGACTACCAAGAAACTTGGTTGATCTGCATATTAGTATCTTTTAGTAGAGAATGTGACATTATATACAAAAAAAGTCAGTTTTGTTGTGATTTAAAGGGTACCATGTGAATGGATCAACTAAATATTCTCATTTCAACTTAATTTATCTAGAAATAAAGTAATTCTGAAAAAATAACATAGGGTATTTTCCTCTCAGAATAATAAAGTATAGATGATGGGATAAAGTAATAGCTAACATTTATGGTGTGCTTTCTAATATGGGAACTGTCAAGAACTTCTCCTCACTTTCCTCATTTAATCTTAACAAGAATCTTCTGCTAAAATAAGAGGCAAAACCCAAGGACTGGGTTCAAATCTCAGCTCTTGTACTTGCTTGGTCAGTGATCTTAGACAAGTTATTTAACTATTCAGTGCCTCAATTTTCTTATTTACAAAATGGAATGATGATGATGATGATGATGATGATGATGATGATGATGATGATGATGACCCGGACATCATTGTGTTATTGGAATATTAGATGAATTAGGTATCTAAAGGGCTTAGAGTACTGTCTGGCTCACAGTAACCTCAATAGGAACATTAGATCTTATTTTTCTCATTTTACTAATAAGGATCTGAGACTTGAAGAGGTTATGTATCACGGTCAAAAACTCTAATATGCTAGAGTTGGAATTTAAATACAGACATTCTAATTCCAGAAGTCGTGCTTATAACCTTTCTTCTAAATAGCCTTTGCCAGAATAAAAACAGAGTATAAGGGAAAAATTAGAAGAGAGGTATTACTTAAGAAGCCCTCAGAAAGTTTTGTTGATGGAGTCAAAACCAAAATGTTGCCACAAGTGTGTACCACTTCACCTCTCCTAACAAGAATTTGGTCAATTAGTTAAAGCAAATATTATTCTTCTCATCTCACAGATAATGAAAATGAAATGGAAAAATTTTAAGGACTTGCTGAAGGTTAAAATGTTAATGGTTGAGTCTCAACTAAACCTGAATCTTCTGATTGTGGACTCAGGACTGTAAATATGGAGAGGTCAAGATGGAGAACAGACACTGATCTTGATTTTGTGTGGGATATACTAGACTGTCCTTCAAATTATTTGCTTAACTTTTAGATTTGACAACCCAACTAAAGAAGATTTCCTATTGAAGCAATTATCACACTAGGATCTCCTAGAGAACAGGTCAAAACATTTTTTTTCTGTAAAGGATCAGAAAGCCAATATTGTAGACTTCGAAAGCTAAGATAGTCTCTATTGCAACCACTTAACAATGGCTTTGGAGCCCCCAAACAGCCAGATACAATTTGTCAATGAATAGCCATGACTGTGTTCCAATAAAACTTCATTTACAAAAACACACAACAGGCAGGATTTGGCCTGTCGGCTGGAGTTTGCTGACTCCTGTTCTAGAAGCTGGTTAATACCTTGCCATTAGTTCCTTATCAACTACTGCATATAATAAGTTTTCCTTTAATACTTGTGAGTGGACAGATTAAGGTTAAGTAAAATGTGATGGGATTAGCCTTACTGTTAATTCAATGAATATTTATTGAGCATCTACTCTGTGCCAGGCACTTTTTTAGGTGGTGGTGAAAAAAATGTTAAAAGACAGACAAGCTCCTTGCTCTGGCAGAGGTCATAATATGCACCATAAATTCATGTGTTTAATTTATGTATTTAAAGATTAATACAAAATTAAACACATAAACACATAGATAATTAGAGAGCAGAAAAGAAGTGATACGAAGGAAATAAACAGAAATATGTGTTAGAGACTCGTTGGGTGGGTGGGTGAGTTTTGCAGATGGAGTATTTTAGGAACCTTAGTGATTGACATCATCTGTAAGGAGGTCACCTGTGATCTGCAACAAGAAGCCAAAGTGCCATGGGAAGGGTGTTCTCAGCAGCAGACCCCTCAGCAGAAAAGGCCTTGGTAGGCCCAGTTACAGAAAGGAAGTTTGTGTGAAAGTGATAGGTGAAGCTGGCTGGGCTTCTGGGTCAGGTGGGGACTTGGAGAACTTTTCTGTCTAGCTAAAGGATTGTAAACACACCAATCAGCACACTGTGTCTAGCTAAAGGATTGTAAATGCACCAATCAGCACTCTGTAAAACAGACCAATCAGTACTCTGTAAAATGGACCAATCAGTGCTCTGTAAAATGGACCAATCAGCAGGACGTGGGCGGGGCCAAATAAGGGAATAAAAGCTGGTCACCTGCGCCAGCTGTGGCAATCCGCTGGGGTCTGCCTCCACGTGTGGAATCTTTGTTCTTTTGCTCTTCACAGTAAAGCTTGCTGCTGCTCACCCTTTGGGTCCACACTACTTTTATGAGCTGTAACACTCACTGCCAAGGTCTGCAGCTTCACTCCTGAAGTCAGCGAGACCACAAACCCCCTGGAAGGAAGAAACTCCGGACACATCCGAACACCTGAAGGAACAAATTCCGGACACACCATATTTAAGAACTGTAACACTCACTGAGAGGGTCCGCGGCTTCATTCTTGAAGTCAGCGAGACCAAGAACCCACTGGAAGGAACCAATTCTGGACACAAAAGGATATCAGGAAAAGTGCAGAGTGTGGTACAAAATGCAGGGGGAAAGGTAGGTGGGAGGCCAGCTTTTGAAGACCCTTGTTGACACTTTGTGTGTTATTTTAAGGATATGGGAAGCCATCAAAGGATTTAAGATGGAAAATGGCATGTTCTGAATTTTGTTCTTAAAAAAGCTCACGGTGGTTGCTGTATGAATAATGGAATAGGGGAAGGCCATGGTTAAAAGTGGATGAGCAACAGTAGAATTTGCAGAAGTTCCAGAAAGAGGGGCATGGGTTGGACTAGAGTGGTTACAGTGGAACAGAAACAGTAGAAAAACGTGAGATGTACGTTGAAGATACATTTCACTCTTGCTTAGCAGATTCATGGGTAGAATTCTGGCTTGAGGAAACTCAGTAAATGGTGTTTGTTTATTGAAATGAGACAGAAGAAATTTAGGGAGATTGTAGAGGCAAGATTTCAGCTTGGAAAATGAGTAAGTTTGCGATATTTATAGGACATCCAAGTAGAGTTGCGTATAAGCAGTTGGGCAAGTGCATCTAGAATGCAAAGAATAGGTCAGAGCTGGAAATATCGATTTAGGAGGCAGAAGCCTCTTTAGGTGGTTTTTGAGTCTATGGGGGCAGAATGGAATGTTTTAAGACTTCATGCACATACAACAGGCAAGAGATGTCAGCCCACTTGGGGCAGCACAACAATCGATAAACATTTTGAGAAAAGACATTTGTTAAGGAGATAGAGAAGGAACTGTCAGAGAGGTAGGAGGAATACCAAGAAAGTGTTTTCTCAGAAGACAAAGAAGCCAGTGTAGTATCATTATCCCTCCTTAGAAGTTAGCCTCTATGGCAAAGGCTGCTAAAATGCTATGCCCAGTGACTACAGTGAAATGTGTACTTTAATTGCTAACTTTAGGAGTCATTGATAACCATGAAAAGAACATTGGTATGGTAAAGAAAGAAGAGGAACTGGGAATGCATGGAAGAGAGAATAGAAGGTGAGGAAATGGGTTCAGAAATTGTCCGTGAATAGAGAATTAACGTTTAGGAGGGAGATGCCAGGGACCAGGTTGGTTGGTTTATCTCATGATGGGGAATGTTGGAGCATGTTTGTATTATGATGAGAATGATCCGGTAAAGAAAGATAAATTTTAACTATGTAAATGAGCAGATCCAAAGCCAGAGACTAGATATAGAAATATTTGTATGGCATTTATATAGCATAATCTCCATTTAGAAATCTGTGTACAGCTTTTTTTAAATGCCATTTTGAGGTTTGTTTTGAAATTTGGGATGAGTGAATCGTAAGAAAGAAAAAGTTTTTGCACAATATTTATAAGTAAATGGATTTCAGGTTCAAACCACAAATAGACTGAAATCAAAAAGAATAATAACTATACATGCTTGAATGAGAAAATGAAAATAATTTACTATCATGGTGCATACTGCAGCATTATAAATACTGACAAGTAGTTTTTTAAAGTACTATAAAATCAGCTTGTTTCCTACAAAGCTAGATATCATCTTACTCCTCAAACACAAATTGTGTTTATACTTTTAATTTATTTTTCATATTGTGGCAGAGATAAACACCTGTCGCATCTGTATTTGAATTAGGACAAATTAGAGAGAAATATTCAGAGCTATTTAAATGGTCCTAAGGAGGTAGACTGTATGCCAATGTAAATTACAATTATTATGCTGATGATCAATATTTATGTTGCCTCTGCCAGTTGTCTGAGCACTTTCTGTGGCGTTCTAAATGAGGGGGCTTATTTATGGGACTAGCTATCTGCAGCTGGCCATCAGTGAATCACAATCGTAATATCATGACACTAATGCAGGCTGAGCCATGATTGGTTTCCACCTGAGTGATGATATAGTTGTGGATGGCCCCGTTTCAGCCAAAGTGGAAGAAAGTCATTATTTTTATTTAACAGTTATAGTATGTTGTTGTCACCTTTTTATGTGAAAGCTTTGTTTTCCAGGTGAACTGAGGAAGAAGATCATTGAGACATTGACAGGTATCGTTTTTGTTGTTATTGTTGTCGTTCTAATTAACTAGATAAGATGCTGTTTGAGATTTTTGTACGTTTTTTGTTCGTTTAAAAATCTGTTTGTCTTGCTTCTTATCAAATCAGGCCAGATACATGTTTTTTAAATTGCTCATGTTTGACCAATTTGAGATTCTCAAATCTCAAGGATTTGAGAGTGAGGAAGATCTGGAGCCCAACATGGCATCACCCTGTAGTGTGAAGATGGCACAGCAGACAAGGGTGTAAAGAGGAAATAAAGGACTTGCATTGAGCCCAAATTGTTGAAATCAGGCCTTAGAGTCTCAGGCCTAACCAGTCACGAACATATTTACTTGTAGAAGTAAGGAATTAGGAAGATGATGGGGAAATCATCAGAACATTGTTTCTTTTAGGCTCTCCCTTGCACTTTACTTATTTTTGAAAACCTATCTGTATGCATCATTGGGAGTAACTGAAAGGACTTTTTATCCCAAGCATATAGATACAATGTTGTGGAACAGCACGTACAATTTATGATCAGAACACATAGATTTGAAAATCAGCAGCAGCTTGATTAGATTATGTTAGATAAGATCGCTCCGTTTCTTCCTGATAAATAACTTCAGTTTCTTCATAATGAAGGTGGGTAGCATCATAACGCTTACTTTATAACAGCTCAGGTTGCAGCTTCACACACCTTGGTTTGAAACTCCAGCCCTGGCACCGACATGCTGCCTGACCTTGGAAAAGTCACTTGACATCTCTGAACCTGAGCTTGTTCAACAGAAAAAGAGAACTCATATCACCTTGCTCACGGACATGTGATTGATTTCGCGAGGGGATTAAACAGGGTAATAGATGTAAATTGCTGAACATTGTATCTTCCAGGGAATAAATGCTCAGTAAATATTAATAATTTTTTTCAAATTCTACAGATTTCTACCAGTTTAGGAGCTACCAATTTAGCTCATTTTTTCTCAAGCTCATGAAGTAGACTTAATAATATACCATAAAGTACTTTGATAGATTAGAATACTAGGGAGGTTGATAGAGCCCCCAAATATAGAGAATGGGCTGGTGCAAATGTTGCATATATGTTTGAAAATGAAATAAAATAGAACACAAAAAGAGGATTTTTAATATTAAAATAATGCGAACTCATTGTAGAAAAGCTTTATGTTATTCCATTTTGTATCTTGCAAAACAATATACAGAGTACATTTTTTCATTATTTTTCTGAGAATAAAATTTCTTAATGCTGTGTATCCTTGGATTAGTCTGTTTTCACACTGCTATAAAGAAATACCTGAGGCTATGTAATTTATAAAGGAAAGTTTAATGGACTCCTGCAAGACTGGGGAGGCCTCAGGAAACTTATACCATTATAGCAGAATGGGAAGCAGACACATCTTACATGGCAGCAGGTGAGAGAGCGAGCAAGAGCAGGGAAAACTGCTTTACAAAGCCATCAGATCTCGTGAGAACTCACTCACTATCATGAAAAGAGTATGAGGGAAATTGCCTCTATGATCCAGTCACCTCTTTCATGTAGGGATTACAATTCAAGATGAGATTTGTGTGGGGACACCAAGCCAAACCATATCAATCCTGAATACTCATTCTTATTCTCCCATTGTTAAGTTTTCTACCTAAAGTTGCTATTATAATAGTATTATTGAGTAGAAATTACTGTTTATATATACGAGTACCTGTTAAGGATTAACTCTTAGAAGGGATGTATGGGATCATATATATAAACACGTCGAATATTATCAATTTGCCTTCTAGAAAACTGCCAATTTTGCTCCTCCACTAACCTCAAAGAATGTATTTTTAGGTTCAGACATAAACCGCTAGGGTCAAATATAGTCTAAAGGTATAGACTGAAGGAGAGAAAAGGTGGAAGGAATTGATGTGTGTTAACAATATTACCTTTCCCCTTAGCAGTACTTCAGATTAATTTTAGCCACTTCTGCAAACATGTTCACATCTCTTTTACCATGCGATCCTGTTCACTTAGCTTATGCTGGTCCATACAGAGATAATAATTTCACAAGAGCTATGAGAAGTGTTCGTAAGAGTTCCTATTTATTTCTCATAACTCATATGTCATGTCATAAATAAGGCCTCTCTGGGAAAACTTGCATGGATGGTTTGGGTCAGTTGCCGCTCCCCAGTGCTCCCACGGCGCTATGTTTCACTCCTACCATTTACACTGTTTTACAATCGTTCTCAGGGTTGAATTTCCCCACCAGTAGTTAAGTTTTCTGAAGGCAGACAAGGCAGAAAGGCAACAATTTGTTGTCTGTCTTGTTCATTTTTATATCTTCAGGACCTGTCATAAACTAGCCTCTCACATAGCTGTTGAATGAAGGGAAGAATAAATGAGTATCTGGATGAATGAATAAAAGAAGTTGTACTTAACCTCTTTCATGTTGGAAACATAGAATTGTAGATGTCAATAACTCAAAAGTCACCTAGCTAGTTAAGTGGTGATGGTCATATGACTAGAATGAGTAAAATAATTACATTTTATTGGCAAAATAAAATCATCTGATGTACAGTAACAATTCAACTTTGAAAGAAAAAATGTCCCTTTCTGGACTGCAAAAATACATTGAATCCATTGAAGTCTAGTTATATCTAATGCCTTCTTAAATGATCTGATGATCTGATTTATACTTCCCCAAAATTCTTAAAAATATCTTAAATACTTGCATGCTGTTATCTTAAACTTATATTCCTATAAATAAATACTGAAGTTTTCAGTAATACTTCTTAGGTAAATCCCTACATCTGCATTATTAATTAGTATAGAACATCTATCTGAGTCCCCTAAATGTACTTATTCCTATGTGTCGTAGACTTTTATTTCTATTTGTTTTGGTGGCTAGAAAAAGGGAAATAATGACATTTCTGAGGAGACTCAGAAATCATTTTCTAGGTTCTTTGTAATTATTTTCTATATTTGAAGTGTGTTTAGCTGAGAACTACTCAAAAAATAAAACCAAGCTAAAGTCATTAAATAAATCCCACATTCAATTTGTACTTTGATTCCTTAAAATAGCAGAAGGGAAGCTGTTTCTAAGCTCAATGACTAAGAGTTTCTGTTAAAAGAAATCCATTTGGTGGCTGGGCAATGTAAGAAAATATGAACACTTTTAAAGAAAAGATGAGAAACTGATGAAGTTCTAACCAAAAGATAATTACAAAAAAAAACTAATCAAAATAAAGTAAAATTCTATATTTGTCAAGGCACCGAGCCGAATTGGCTACAGATGTAGTTATGGCAGCAGATTGGACATTGATTGCACTTCCCAGCAGGGAAGAACAATGAGAAAATTACTGAACTCAGGTTTGATTTGCTCTTGTGCCCTAACTTAACATTCTTTGCAATGGTGGGGTGGATAAGGCTAAAAAACTTCTGACCAGTGCATCTAAATGGTGTGCTACAAAAGCACTCAGTGATCCCGCCATATTTGTGATTGTTTTCAAATATAATTGTGAAATTAACTTCCTTATGTTCAAGATCATTAGCAAAGTCAGATTGCCTACTTTCATCTCTTAATGATAACAATAGGCAATAAGAAGTATGAACAGTATTACAGTGATTACAACTGTCAATTGTTTACTGCAGGTCCTCGAATGATATCCTTTTGCCCAATGTAGTTTCCTTATATCATTGATGAGAAAAGTATTTATTTCCATCCTGGGCCATCAGTGTGGAGTTTGCGTGTCTAAGTAGGTTCCTCCAGTTCCTGCAGTTTCCTCCCACATCCCAAAGTTATGCATGTTAGGGGAATTGGCATGTCTACAGGGTCCCAGTGTGAGTGAGTGCAGGGGTGTGTGAGTGTGCCCTGCCATGGGACGACAGCCTGGCCAGGGCTGGTTCCTGCCCTGCTCCTAAGCTGCGGGGAAAGCCTCCTGCCACCCGCAATCTTAAACTGTAGTAAGTCCTTGGAAAATGAATGAGTGAATGAATGAATGAAGACAAATCATTTGTGAAATAAAAATTCATAAAGTATATAATAATCATACAAACACAAAATGATGTACTACAAAAGCACTCAGCAACCCTACAATATTTGTGATTGTTTTTAACTGCCTAGTGGTAGGAGGTGCACCTTACAGTTGTTACTTTGCAAACATTAATTCCTTGACTTAATCCACAGGACTGTGACTGCAGTCACTAACTGATTCACCACAAATTACAAACTAGGCAAATCATTATCTTACTTGTTTTTATTCATCTTCGTTAAATGTATGTACAGCTCACATTTACCTCAATGTTTAATATTAGAAGTGTTCTGGGTCTTTAAAAATGACCAGAAGTATGCCATAGGAACCTAACTCTTATTTATATCAATTAGCCTACAGTAAAATTCAATCTGTTGTATGTTGTTTCATTTAAAGTTGTAGTTTTCAATAACCTGTCTATGACATTGAGGACTTACTGGATTGTTACATTCATGATCATTCCAAGGCTTCTCATAATCTCTTGGAAATTATGGCAAGAATAATATGAGTAAATTAGAAAAGTTTGTATATGAGCATTTAGAAAAAAAAATGAGAAGTGAAAGTTTTATTTGATTATAATGTTAAATTTGTAAAATTCACATTACCTTTTCTATCTTTCTATGTTTTGGCAGTGACACTGTCAGGGAAACCAAGAGCCAAGGAACCCATTACTATTGAGGTCAAACATAAAACAACAGTAGGATCAGGAGTGCACAGTCACCAGGAGAGATTCTGGAGATAGGGGAAAAGTTTAGAAACAAAATCCATGATTCAACTTATAGCTATAAAGGAGGCTATTCTGCACCTGAGATATGCTAAAATATTGAATTATCTATTTAATGCTTTTATTATTGAATTTTTAATTACACAAGCAACACATACTTATATAAATTAGAAACTACAGGTAAGCATAAATAAAATTTATATCACCTGTTTTACATTTTGCAGTATAGATTTCTAACTTTTATACAAAATGTATTTTAACACTTTTGCCCAAAAGTAACATTATACTCTAGGTGTTATTTTGTAACTTTCTTTTTCTTGTATTTAACTACATATTTGTAACTATTTCTAAGTCAGTACATGTACCTCTATAAAAAATATTTCTAATAATTTTATAGGATTCAATTATGTTTTTAGCTCATCACTTAAAAATCAATTTTCTATTGCTGTTTTTAATGTTTTGCTATTATAAACAAAGCTATGATAAAGCTTTGTATGCTATGGGTTCTGTGCAATCATCTTTTTAAGAAATATTTCTCCATGTAGAATTGTTGGGCAAAAAATCTCATGAATGTATATACATATATATATATATTTTTTTTTTTTTTGAGATGGAGTCTCTGTCGCCTAGGCTGGAGTGCAGTGGCATGATCTTGGCTCACTGCAACCTCCATCTCCTGGGTTCAAACAATTCGCTGCCTCAGCCTCCCGAGTAGCTGGAATTACAGGCATGCACCACCACGCAGGGCTAATTTTTGTAATTTTAGTAGAGGCGGGGTTTCACCATCTTGGCCAGGCTGGTCTTGAACTCCTAACCTTGTGATCCACCCGCCGTGGCCTCCCAAAGTGCTGGGATTACAGGCATGAGTCACTGCGCCCAGCTCTTATGAATATTTTTAAGGCTTTTGATACTGTCCTCAAATCGTTTCCCAGAAAAGTGAAGGCAATCTAGACTCCTACAAAAATGTATATTAGCACTGTACTTTTACCTTTCCCTCCAAAACCTAACTACACTGGGCGTACGGTATTTTTAAATTTCGAATGTGATATGCAAAGTGTTACCTTTTAGGAATTTCATTTGCAATGTTTGATTTCTAGTGAATTTGAACATGTGAACATTTTTTTTTAAATCCATATGTACAATTTGTATACTACCTCCTCCTGACACTACTGATCAGCTCACTAAAATTATCGTTTTATCATAGTGATTCGTAGTGATATCTTAGGTACTAGAGAGCAGGCAAATCTCGCAAAGCTGCTTGAGGCTTAGGTTTAGAATTGGCAGTCTATCAGGACTGCCTCATTCTATTAATGACAGCAAGTTATGTGTCCAAAACCAAACACAGAAGGCAGAGAAGTACTCTCTACTCACAGAGGGAGGTCACCAAAACATTTCCTGGAGGAAGACGTGTTTACTGGGAGGGACGAATAATTGGAGCCAATGATTTCATCTACCTCATTCATTGTGGTGGTTAAATTTAATTGGGTGGATTTCTTCTATACATTTTATAGAGTTACCATGCCCTTATCACCATTCTTTTGACTGGATCCCACAGCTAACCAGAGGGTAGGAAATCCAGATATCATTAGGTGTCAGAGTGGCAGAAAATACAAAGCGCTTGAGAGTGGTAGTACCTATAGTCAACTGAAACATCAAGTATGCCTAAAGACAAATCAAACTTAACTAAAACAAAACACCACCAGCAACAACAGAAACTCTTGCTGACCAAATTAAGCATCTTTGTGGGTGGATTTGATTTGGGTCTCAAGCTTGAGACCCCTGCTCAAGTCAAACACCTTGATTTTACTATACCCTAATTTGCCTACACTAGTAGTCTGGGCAGAAATAATGGTAGAATTTTCTTGTTTTACCCAAAATTTAGTAATTTATCTTAAGCACTTTATTAAAATGTAGTGAAATTACTGTATGCCTATTGCACATGTACTGAAAATTGATTTAAGATTCATCTCTTGGCCCAGGTGTGGGGGCTCATGCCTGTAATCCCAGCACTTTGGGAGGCTGAGGCAGGTGGATCACTTGAGGCCAGGAGTTGGAGACCAGCCTGGCCAACATGGCAAAATCCCATCTCTACTAAAACTACAAAAATTAGTCAGGCATGGTGGCATGCGCCTGTAATCCCAGCCACTTGGGAGGCTGAGGCAGGAGAATCGCCTGAACCCGGGAGGCGGAGGTTGCAGTGAGCTGGGATCACGCCACTGTACTCCAGCCTGAGCGACAGACAGAGACTGTCTCAAAAAAAAAAAAAAAAAAAATGTATCTTTCAGATTCACCAATGTATCTTAACATGTTCTTTGGTAAGAATGCAATTTTTAAATGTAATTTTTAAAACTCACTGAAAATTGTGGCACCTCTTTTTAGTGAATTGAAAGCAAGTATGAATAAACTTTCCTTATGGGATTAGATTCGATTCCAGGAAGTAGAGTCATGTCTCAAAGTCAAAGATATCCACAGAGATGGCATTCGTCTCTCAACCCCCAACCCCAGGGCTTTTGTGTGGAGAATTTTCCTCTTTTTCTTATTCTTTTCTATCATTATTTCTTGGCCCACATTTGTGCATTTCCAGCTGACTCTCATCCGTGGGCTATATTGTAAAGCAGTTAGGTTTTTCTCAATCCAGCCAGCTGGATGAAATCTCAGCTTTCATCTACTTAATTCTTCTTTAGAACCTTTCCAAAACAGAGGGAGGTCTACAGCTTGCTTTTAATTCTGTCATGCTTATTCATTAATAACCAGAAAGGGAAAATTTTTATGACAAAATCAATCCTCATTTAACTTACAAACCAAAAATTTGTCTTCAAAAGTACCTCCTGTTGTATCAAATACTGCACACAGTGGCAGTATTAGGGCTTAACTGTGGGCTCAGTTTCCTGATCTGACTAATGGATTTGTTGTCATGCCACTCACCAACTGTGTAGCATTGTGTGAGTTACTTAACCCTTCTGTGCCTCAATTTGCTTATCTGCAGAATCAGGATAATAATAGTATGTATCTCATCTGAGTATTCTGAGAATTCATGAACGTGGTAAATGTCAGCTATTTTTCATCCACTAATAAGTTGAGACTATTGGTTGCTCCGTGGCTCTTGGGAGAATAGAAGGCAGGCTTGTGTCATAACAGGAATGGGCTCTGTTCTTGGCCCACCAACAAGTTAGTTGGACTTCACGTCCTCTCCCTCATTCATATCACCATTTGGGCTGATTGTCCTCCCAGAAAAATGAGGGATTTAGACTAGATGATTTTTAAAATCTCTTCCAGATTTGTACCTTTTATTATGAGAGGTAGGATGATGGGGGCTATCTTTCCATTACAGAAATAAAACTAAAAGACAGAACTCTTCATTTGGTTCAAAGTTTTCTTGGTTTGTTTTGACTGAAGATTTGGGCTTGGTAAGGAGGGTACAAAAATTCTCTTGACCGCAAATCTAGAGTAAAAAATTTTAATCTCACTTAAACATAAGAATAAAAATTCTATGAAAAAAAAATTTCAAATAGTTCTGAACTCAGGAAGGAAAGAATCTTCATGCTGATCATTTTTAGCAGACACCTGTTTCTATTATTAATAGTTATAACAGATTATTCATTCTAGTCTCAAAAAGATTCTTAATTGTTTTATGGCAAACTCTCAAAATTTTAGTGCATATATAGACCAAGGGTTATACCTCTCATGCTATACGTCATTTGGTCAGTTAATATTCTTTGAATACGATGACAAAATAGTAAATATTACAAGAGAAATCTAGGATAAGTTACATATATCATCTATACATTCCTATTAGATTGTCATGGAATTAAACACTCGTTTTATTGAAAAATAAGAATTGACTTCCAAAATTACCTCCCTATTTTATGAAACATATATTCTGTAGCAAGGGAATATACGCTACAGTAAAGAAATAGTTTTCTGAAATCTTACAATATTCAAAATGCATACAAGTTTAATATGGAGAATTTATAAGCAGCTAGCAGAAAGGACAGTGAAAACAAAATCCCAGAGCGACTTCACTAATAGGAAACAGACTAGTTGAATTTAATATAGACTCTGTGTGGACAAACAGGAATACATTGTGTACTGTGTTTAAAGCAAGATAACAGCAAATAAAAGACATTCTAAGATAAATCCAAAACCGAGAGTTTATTATGACCAAAATGTTTTTACAAAAATTGCTTTTAAAGAAAGTGTATTAACAAAAATGAAACACTAGCCAAGGCAAAAGGAATAAAAGAAGAAATAATCAGCAAATAAATTAGAAATGTATGTTAAACTAAACAAAAAGTAACTGTAAAATGATGTCCGATAGGTTGGACTCCCACCAAAATGAGAACCTTAACCTAGATGAAAATGGCTTATAAATTGAGAGGTGATGATCATAAATGTTAGAACATTTTTATATGTATTTATGGTGGGAGTGATGGGGTGAAGTGTTAGAGATTAGATTAATTGTAGCCTCTAGTTAGTATGTATAGCTTAGGAAATAGAGCAAGTTTTCAAGAACAAATAGTGAAGGACTAAAAAATAGAATGCTTATCTGATGTATTAGTGGAGTACAAGTAGGAAAAGGAATCAAACCTGGAAAGAGGTAAATAACAATAAAGTCAATTTTAAAAATGCAGGAGAGAGAGAAAAACAATAAAAATAAAAAGCAGACCAGAAGACACAAAAACAGTTAAGTAAAACTAGCTATATTTTCGAATAATATATAATTATTTCAAGATTGAGCTTAGATTAATGAATTCTGCTCTATGTTATTTATAAGAGATACATTTAAAACATAAGTATGATTGTTAAACAATATGAAATATATAATATATATACAAACATACACATATAAATATGTAAATAAATCCTAGTCAAAAGAAAAGTCAAGAGAACCTGATTTATATCAGAAAACATAGACTTTAAAACAAAATTTTTCTTAGGGTAGAGAGAGTTACCAACTAATGACAAAATACTCCATAGGGCTGAATATATATCTATATCTATATCTATATATATATATACACACACACACACCCCTAAATGTGACTTTCAAATTCATGAAAAAAATTTTATAGAATATACAGATAAATTTAAAACCCCACCACAATAGTTGGAGATTTCAAACATATTCTCTCAGTCATCCATAGATCTTGAATATGGAAACTTAAATAAGCTACGGAAAAGTTGAACAAGAGTATTACTAATCTTTAACCTTGCTTGTTTCTCATGTTTTATTTCTTAACAACTTTATAAAGATATAATTTACATACCATAAAATTCAACTGTTTGTCAAAAAAATGTAATAGGAATTTTAAAATAAATGAATATTATTATTTGGTGTAAAGTGGCAAAGGTCAGAAACTACCTTACCTGTATGTCAACAAGGAATTAGTTACATAAACTATGGACTATAAAACAAACTGTAATGTTGAGAATAGTTGTATATGCAAATAATGTTCTAATTACAAATCTGGTGGCAGGTTTGTAGGTAGATTTATAGTTGTTATAGGTACTGTTTAATGCATCATAGATCATATTTACATATTCTTCTGTATGTATTGCATATCAAATAATTTTTTAAAAATTAAAACACTCCTAACAGTACATGTATTGATGAATTAAAGCAGCACAGAGCCAGAGAAGATTCCATGGCTGATCCACTCTTCCTTTTATCTCTTCATACAGCAGAGAGCAGAAATCCTTAACCATAACTCCAAAGAGCTTCTCTCCCACTGATTACAAACAAAAACAACTGAATGTTTTAACTTACTGAAGTTATTTTTCAATCATCCATTAATTTCCAAACATTTCTATAGAATTTACCAATCGAGGTTTCTGATGCTTTGTATAGTGCTTGACATAGTGGAGCACATTAGATGTTGGTTGAATAAATGAATAAAAAACAGTCCAGATAGCATATTAGGTGTATGGTCCCAGGAAAAAGAGAAGGTAGAATAACAACAACAATAGCAACAACAACAAAAAACCACATAAATCCCAATCACAAAAGTTTCACAATTACTTTACTTTTTCATGTGGCACCTACACTCCAAGTTATATAAGTTATAGGCTAAATATCTTATTGGCCGATGACCCAAAAGTGCATCTCATCCTAACTATGTTTAGGTGTCATGATCTCATTCCTGTCGGATAAATCAATGGAAAAAAATATATTTTTATTTATTTTAGTAGATATGTTCAAAATTAGCTAAGAAACACAGCAGGGCACTTAACTGCTTTGAACAATCATAAAAGTGCACTGTCTTAAAAGAAAAATAAGATTATATAGATATAGATATTCTCAGAGAAATAAAGTGAGGTGATACTAATATAGAATAATTCAGCATTGAATTCCTAATCTTCACCCATGACATAATTCCATGGACAAAATAGAATCCACAGCTGTTACTTTATCTGTATGACTATTCTTTTTTTTTTTTAAAAAAAAGAAAGCTGTGTGACTATTCTTGATAATTAAAATGACTCTTACCTACTTGAAGAGAGACTATACAGATTTTTCTGGCAAATTTTAAAGAGATTTTTCAGCCTGTGAAATAAAAATAATTTTTACAACAGCGATCTCTTTAAGAAGGAATTGCAATTTAAAAAGAAATACTTTTTGGTCATTCAAAGATGAGCGCTGAATAATACCTCTATGTAGAATTGTATACTTAAATGGGATACTTATTCTACTGTATTAGCCATCGAGGTAATGATTATATAAAAAAATTTAGTCCTTATTGAATAAATCATAAGAACTCATTAGAATTGGGTTATTAGGACACTAAAATCCTGACAGCATGATCCACAGATACAAAAGCTTCACGTCAGTTATTTTCTTAAGAGAGGATTTACATTTTACAATATCCAGAAGCTTCCTCTGCCTACATGTGCAGATTTTATTGGCATATATAAGCAATTCTAGTACCCCAGCTTAAACCAGGATTTACATATGTGAAGACCCTGTGTCCCATTGCTTAGCATCTCACTTTGGGATTACTATAGTACTATATATGACTACACAATAATTATCAGAAGTGAGCATAAATATTGAATGCTGCAGTCTTTCCATATATTATCTCAGTGAAGGCAGAACTTCCTAAAAAGTGAACACATCTAACTGGTCAACCACTAAATTTTTTAGTGGCTTTTAAATTACTTTGTATTCTAAACTCTCTCGTTTTAGGCCATTCTTGCATTGCTAGAAAGAAATACCTGAGGCTGGGTTATTTATAAAGGAAAAGAGGTTAAATTGGCTCACAATTCTGCAGGCTGCAGGAATCATGGCACTGGCATTTGCTTGGCTTCTGGGGAGGCCTCAGAGAGCGTTTATTTATGGCAGAAGGTAAAAGGGGAGCAGGCACATCACAAGGCAAAAGCAGGAGCAAGGGAGAAAGAGAGAGGCACAGGAGGTGTCAAACACTTTTAAGTGATCAGGATCTTGTATGAACTCACAGTGAGATCTCACTTACTACCAAGGGGATGGCCCAAGCCATTCATGAGGGATCTGCCCCCCATGGTCCAAAACCTTCCACCAGGCCCCCACCTTCAACTTTGGGGATTTTAATTCATGAGATTTGGAAGGGGCAACCATCTAAATTATATCAATTGAATTATAAGCCAGCTGAACCAAAAATTATTAGGAAAAGCATACAGTTATCATACTGGAAGTGAAATAATATGCTTCTGAGTGTATCTAAACTATGAAGGGCTGGTTAGTTTTCCTACACTCAACATGGACTACTACAAACCAAAGAGCTGTCCATTAGTTACTCAGTTCTATCTCTTTTGCCCATTTAAGAGCAGACTGTAAGACTTAGCAAAGCTTAAAACTATCAGTTAAATTTAGTGGGTCATCTATGTAACTATAGAACATCTGTGTAAGTATTGGCACTGTTTGCCACAGAATGCACTAGTGTAATGGTTTTATAAATGGAGCAGCAGACAGAGAGTCCACGCTAACATGCAATAAAATCTTGATGATGCTCTGCTTAAACACAACAGAGTTCTGTAAGCAGCTGGCATTCCAGGGAATCTGGAAAAAACAAATAGTTCAGGCGAGCTGACAAATCCAAGAACACCCAAAAACTGAAGAGCAGAAAAGAGTCAACATCCAGTTGGCCTGTTTTCATCCAATAATGTACTGATGATGGCTATAGAAGTTAATACGCATGTAGAAGTTAAGAGTGTTGCAGTTTGAAACTGTTTATTTGAAAAGATCAAGGCACCACAATATTTATCATTAGGAGAGTTACAACCATTGCACTTCATGGAAATAAACTATAAATGGAAAAATGCTAGTGCAAAAAGATAGCAAGCAAAATCAGAAGGAGGGGGTCAACACTGTAGTCTATAAATAGTGATCAAGTATTTATCCAGTCTCATTCCAGTAGGTGTAAGTAAAAGAGAGAGAGAGAACTTACCCAGATTAGCACATAAAGCAGGTAATCAAAGCAATGCATATGGTAAGTTAATCATATGTTTCCTGTCTTGGAATATGGCCATTTCTAGTAATTTATGCATTCCACCCAGCTATAATATGTGTTATCTCAGACATGTATTTCTCTTTCTCTCCCTTCCTTCCTTCCATTCTCCCTCCCTCTTGCCGACCTTCCCTACTTCCTTCCTTTCCTCCCTACCTTTCCCTCTCTTCCTTCCTTTTTTTTTTTTTTGTTTGCAGATAAATTAATTGACTTCTTAGGCACCACTTTATCTCCAAAATTTGCAAAAATTAAACAGTTAAAGAGGAATAACTTGTTTGTTGGAAGGTGAATGCTTCAATATTATGGATATTATGATAATATTTTGCCTGTTAAAAAAAAATCTAAGAATTTTCTTCTTGACGTGGATATCCCAGATCCATACCTCTCCAATACAGTGTAACCCAAGAAGTCATTCAGAATTCAAATGAGTGCTTTCTTACAACTCATCATAAATGCAATTCCTGATTATATTTTTCAGAATGGCTGAATAAAAGAATCTGCCTTTTTTATACATTAGCTATTTTGTAAGCCCCTCAAGAACCAAAACTATGTCTGATTTCTGTTTAAAAGTATATTGTAATATTTAGCAAAGTTTAAGGTATCAATTCAATTCAGTGCATCATTTGTAACTATGGAATATCTGTGTTAGTACCAGTACTGCTTAAAGGTCATAAAACAAGAGTTAAGAAACAGTCTAGTTCATAGTTGCATTTCACATATCCACTATAGTGTATGACACAGAACAGACTCATAATTATCAATTGAATAAGTCAATCATTTCTTTGTTTCTGAAAACATAAAATGATAGAATATTAATCATTTACCTGTATGATTGAGATAATGTTTTAAAAATACTGAGCAGACATTTACATTTTTTCTTAATCATATATCCTTGCTATGTCAAACAAACATAAAATAATTGTAATATAGATGTGCTAACAAAGATAGAAAGGGATGGAAGTACGAAGTGAAAACTAAATATTCATGATGCATCAAATATACGAGGCTTATGGATCACTTAATATGCGTGAAGTCTTGTATCAGAAACCCATTGGTGGTAGAGATTCTTACTCTAAATATTCTTTTCGTGAGACACTCAAATAAAAATCTGTGGCCACTCAACAGTCATGGATAAACTACAGCTCTGAGATATGGCCAGCTGTACCTACCCCTGGGTCTCTCTGATAGAATGAGTATTTGAGTATTTGTGTTGGTCCCAGGCACATTCCATCTGCTGGACTCCCACATAAAACCTCAACTCCAATCCTCATAATTGCACCATTATTATGGAAAGCTTATGCCACAGAGAAAGAAATAGAATTCCTGAATATTGCATGATAACCTAGAATTCAGCTAGTGCGAGTTACTCTGTTTCTTTTCCTATGCTCCTCATTTTGTGTTCTAAATTAAGTAACTCATGTGATTGGCTCATTCACTTTGAGTCTATGAGACTTTCCGCTCCATGACTTGGGTATAATTTGCCTGGTTGTATACTTAGAGGCAACCATTGCATCAAAGTAATTTCCCACATAACAGAAGGCCATTCCTCCTCCCAAGGAAAAAGCTGGGACATGGAGAAAGGAGAAAGCTGCACATGGAGTTTGTGGACTGATGGATAGGACATGTGGTCCTTGCTTTCAAACTGGGGGAGGGATCAGTAATGAGATACATTGCAAAGGCTGTATGTCAAGCCCAGCCAGAAGCCACTTCAAAAACAAACAAATAAATAAAGGATGGGTGGAATAGACTAGCTTGAGGATGAGTCTCTGGGTTATCTGGCTTGCCAGGATCTGCCCAGTGTCTAGAGGAAGGTCAAAAAGGCTGATAGATCGGAAGAAGGTTGTGAGTATAGACAAAGAGGTCACAGTACAGGGAACTTCATTACCTAAGGCTGGTGGTAGAATAGTGGTGTCCAGTTCCTACCAAAAAATGCCCAAAATGCTAGATAGGACTTGGATCTACAGGTAAGATCCAGGAACCTCATCAGACAATGAACCAGAGAGAGATACTAAAAGGACCATCCTGACTATTCTCACCTAGACATCGTGGAGAAGATAGGCAGGGGGAATCTGAAACATCGAGACACGAGACAAAATCATTCAAGAGACTCATCAATTCCCCATAAATTAAGATACTATGCACTGGGCAAGTTCACAAAATTTATCATTTGTTTTTGTCCCAGTGGCCCTACGGCATGGAAGCGGGTAAAGAAAATGACATTGAAGACACTTAGAAGCTACGTTTTCTTTGTGCATATGAGTAGTATGTGAAAATATTTGGCCCATTTTATGTGGTTTACAAATACAAATCTTGCTTTTACCCCAATAATATAGAATCACTGAGTTACAAAGATTTAATCATCTAACAAGAAGCATTCATGTGGTTCATAGAACTCTAATTTATTCCCTAAAATCTTTAGTTAAGCTCTTTCAATAATTTGTGATTTATTACGTCTGAAGTAAGGCTGCTCAACTTTTTGACAGCCGTAATTCTTATGCAATACATTTTTATATTCATCCAAATTTACTTCTCAATAATTTCACCCCTTGCTCCTAGTTCTACTGCACTCTGGTGCAAAAGAGAAATTTGCTTTCTTATCCATATTTATTCAGCAAACATTTATTGAGTGCCTATTTTATAACATTGCATATTAGGTGCTGGAGGTTGCTATAAAGACTTAAAAATCATTACACATTCTTCTGTTTCAGATGTTGATATCTCAAAAGACTGTTGCTTTCATCTTTACAATTAAAACAAGCCAAATAGGTTACATCAACATAGTTGTAAAACTTTACCAGAATAGGACTCACACAAACATAAAAGAACTAAAACTCTAGAAAGTGGCAAAGCCTTTACAAGAGTGGAAAAAATTCTAGGCTTCTCTCATTGCTGCCTAAAGTGGAGGGGAGTGGGAATAAAGTTTCCATGGACAGGACTCAGGAGAAAGGAGTGTAACACTTAAACTTTTAGTGGCCATATGTGGGCTGACATGGCAGATTTGAACCCAGATGACTCCTGGGCAGTCTCAAATATTTAATGAGTGCTAATATCAGCACACCCAATATAGGCACAGGGAAAGAGAGCTGAGAGAAAGCTTTTGAGGTACTTTGTGCTTTCAGCTAAGGAGGTTGATGAGAAATACCCCTTTCCTGGCAATACCAGCCTCACAGATGGTAGGGCAACTACAGCTGAGGTCCAAGGCTGAGGATGGCTCAGAAGAGCTAAAAGAGATCACCCTCAACACAGCAGACAGTACTAGGCAGCAAAGAAATCCCCCCAGATATCCAAAATGGTGGCAGCAAGTGGCGATGTAGAAAGGGATCACCCACAGTTTAGAAAGGAAGTGGCTCTTCTGTGGACCACAGGCAGCTCTTCATAACCTCAATGAGGCTTAAATCCTAGGTCAAACCTATCCTCAAGATATTTGACTACAATGTTGAACTAAGTTAAACTGGCATTCTAACAAATCCCAGACCTCAACCACCAAGTATATTGACCCAGCCCCTACTCTAGCAAACTGACAGAAGGGGCATGTTTTTTCTGGAGATAGGTATCAATTACTTCAGTTTCTATTATGTTTTCATAAAAATGTTCAGCAAACAATTAAGAACAAAAACATACACAAAGGAAAACAATAAAAAGTCACCAAGAGTTAAGAAAGGAAATAATGGTAGCTGAATAAGAAAAGGCATGAATTTTGAGATTACCAAACATGAACTTTAAATTAACTATGATGAAACACTAATGTGAAAAAGGTAAACAACCTGTATAAAGTGATAATTTCAGCAGAGACATGGAAACTATCAAAAATAATCCAAAGAGATAAAAAATACAGTATGAGAAATAAGAACTTCAGATTTTGTCTCTCTTGGGTCAATGTTCTATCTTTCAGATCCCTGCTGCCTGATTTCCACGATGTCTAGGTAAGAACAGCCCAGATGGTTTTCGTAGTATCTCTTTCTGGAACTTAAGGCTGTACACAGCAAAGAAAATGATAGGGAAAGAAGAAAGGTCAAACAAAAATACCCAAACAAATCAAAAGAGAAAGAGAGTCAAAAGGAAGAAAAATAGAAGAACAGATCAGCCAAGTCCTGTTGAACAATATCAAATACTGACAATTTAAGGCAAAAATCATCCTAACGTTCTGCATGCAGTGTATAGCTTATGTACATGTATGTATTCTTGACATATTTGTAATATTCCCTAATGATGTAAGAGCTTATCATGTCTATAAATATCAAATTGTCACATTCATTTAACAAATTTTGTTTTTTTAGCTTATGTGGCAAGCAATGCACAACTTCTGAAAATATTAACGCATTAGCATTGAACACATATTCCCCTATGTGACAGTCAGCATTCTCCAGTAAACTGTTTGATTCTCCACCAGAAAACCATCAAACAAATTCTTTTCTGCATCAAATTAGATGCTTCCCAACAACGAAAATCTTAGCTGCTGTCTGTTTCTTAAGCTGCTGTTTCTAGCTTCTTATCCTTGCTTAAAGTTTCAACTGTCTAACATATTCTGGAACTTCTGTGGATCCAGGGACAAATGAAAACTTACCTAATGACTTTGTTTATTACTTGGAAGAGTGTGAGGTTAATTCATCTTCAAAAGGCCCAGATGTCTTTGGAAGGCTGAGGCAGGCAGATCACAAGGTCAGGAGATCGAGACCATCCTGGCTAACACGGTGAAACCATGTCTCTGCTAAAAATACAAAAAAATTAGGTGGGCATGGTGGCGGGCGCCTGTAGTCCCAGCTACTTGGGAGGCTGAGTCAGGAGAATGGCGTGAACCCAGGAGGCAGAGGTTTCAGTAAGCTGAGATCGGGCCACTGCACTCCAGCCTGGGCGACAGAGCGAGACTCCATCTCAAAAAAAAAAAAAAAAAGCCCAGATGTCATGTCCCTCCCCTGCCCCCATACCCTCATTATTATTTACTTCACAGTAAGGTTCTTTAATTTTTACATGGAAATCATCTTTGTGAAATCCTGGTTTGGGAATTTTTATCTGGAAGAGGAAGTAGCCACTGAGGCCTCTTCTCATTTCTTTAGTACATTAAAAATAATATTCTCGTTTCTAACTAATGCTGGCAAGTGCAAAGTATCCAAGTAAAATGTAATTCCTTTGTGTAAGGAAAAAGGATTAGATTACCTGACAAAAGTCAGCCCCATAAAATCATCATATTAAACTAGAATAACTATTTATTTAAATGTTACCAAAAAACAAGACTAACAAATAAGCTAAGAAACAATTTGAAAAACATGTTGTAGGTAAAACTAAAATGCCCCTTAAATCTTAGCAAGGGCCAAAGTTGCCTCCTCGAATATAAAGGAAATTGTATATAATGAGGAAATTTTTATGACAGAGGATAATGGTGCCTGATAAAGAATATAGGAAAGGAGGATGGTCACGAAACAAGGCTCAGAATAACAGCACAGATATTTATAGACTAAAAAAGGTTTATAATTCTCCTTTTTCAAAACTGAATGCATATGAAATGCCATCCAGAAAGGACTCCAAAATAAATAAATAAATAACTCATTTCAAATAAAATAATTACATAAGATGCCAATTAGTTTTGAAGTATAAAAACGATAGATAGCTCACCAATCACAGAAAGCCAACACATGCCTGTTGCAGTTTTCTGGCCTGACAATTACATTAAGATTCTTTTTGACAGAGCAATTCTCCACATCAAGACAGAACAATGACACTGGGGAGAAAAGCACCTTGACATAATTCTCAAGTCTCTTCTTCTTGCTACATTTCTAGACTAAGCAAGTCCTAGGTATTTTCCTTTTTTTTTTTTTCCTGTAGTCTGATTAATCAGAAAAGGAAGAAGTGAGACACAACATGTATCAATGTTAATAAATATCAACACTGGGCCACTCATATACAGAATTAATGTGAAGAATCATCTGTAAGAGAACTTTTCATCTCTAAGATTTGGAATTTTCTACGTTGTCTCTCATGAGGAAATATCAGACAGTGAAATGTACACTATTCTGAAAATCAGAAGGCTGTTTTTTAATCCACACCATGCAGCTAAACCACTTGGCATGGCTGACCCTCTGTCTCATTCTATAAAATGAGCCAGTTAGATTTTATTATTTCTGAAGTCTCTTCTATCTTTAAAATCTAGTTATGGAAGGACATCCTATTTAATATGGTCCTCAGAATTTCACTAAAGTTTGTAAAAATGTGGCCTGGATATATCTAAGCAAACGAAATTATAAGCAAAAAGATAAAATAGCTTATTTGAGAATTCTAGAATGAAATAGAAGTTGCTTTTCCTGATTGGATGCATCTAAGTTATTGAGATATTTGTATTTGTGAGCATGTGAGTATATGTATGTCTATGTGTATGTGTGTTTGTATGAAAGATTTTACTTGATTAATTTAACCTCTTTGTATAATACCGTTTCAATGAATTGTATTACAAACAAAAGATTCTAACATTACCATTGGGATGGCAGGAATCTCTAATACCTTAATCAGTGCGAACATATTTAAAACATTGAGCAGTAAACTCTGCCATCAATACAATAAAAACAATATCAAATTTCTCAGTATTAAATGAGTTTGAAAGCTATAAAATCAACATAGTTTGCATAAAATCTGAAGAAATGAATTATTCTTACATAAATACCATATTTGGCAGTCAAAAACAAACAGTACTTATTAAAATATATTTTCTTATAATTCCTGGCACTCTGTATTATTTAAAAGAATGGCTAGACTGAACTAAATTAGCCAGAAATATAAGAGGCTTTAATATTGATTCCCAATGCAAAACTTCCCAAATATCCTTTGTTAACAAAATGAATATTGCAAATTTAAAAGGTACTCATATTTTCTCATGGCTTCTTCTATCACTATAAGAGTTGTATCCTACTTTTTGCAACTTTCTATTTTGAAATGATTCACAAGAAGTTGCAAAAACGTTGCAGAGAAGTCCCTTGTGCCTGTCACCCAGCTTCCCCTCAATGGTAACATGCATAACTAAAGCGTATTATCAAACCAAGAAATTGATTGACACAGCACAATTAACTAGTCTACAACTATTACTTGGATTTAACCAGTTTTGCATGCATTTGTATTTTTTTGTTAATTATTTTATATTAGCTTTTACTTTCAGAGATGGTGTACCAACCTTTCCAACCTTTCATTTTGTTCTGTAGTAATTTGAAACCTTAATGGTTAAAAGGTATAGGCTTTTGGGGTTTTTTTTTTTTTTTTTTTGCATGCCTTGAATAATCAGTATGCCTTATGGACTTAAAATGAAACTCTAGGCATAGAATCAGCTATATGGGAAGCAGTGATTAATATTTAGCTTACCAAAGTAGATTTCTAAAATATTTTAGCTATCTGTGCTATCTATGGTGAGGGACTCAAGCAGTGAATTAAATCCTATCTCACATTAGAGACCATTAAGATATTCATTGATTTAGGAGATGCGTATTGAGCAGCTTATTCTGAGCAAAGAAACCACATCAGACAATGTAAGAGATAAAAAAGCAGTTCCCCAGTCATCAAGGGACTTTTATAATATGGCAGGGAAAATACCATTGTAGAAAAATAAATAAAATAAACTGCAGAGATTGAGAAGTAGTTTGGGTGAGGGAGAGGCACGAGGGAATGCCCTTATGTTTGTGGAGAGTTTGGCATGCGATAATCTTCCCTAGCCAAGACCAAGAAGTTTGAAATTACACGACTAGTTTAATATCTCTACCCCAGTACTCTCTGGCCTTCCACCTTGACATGCAATCCCACCTATGTTATCTTTATTACCACAGTTTAGAAACCTACTCCAATGTGTTTATTTTTAGAAGTAGAACGTCCCCTTCAAAACTACCGAACCTCAGAATAAGGACAAAAATGACATCTTCATGAATTTTTGTAACTTTTTTCTTTGTTGGCTGGTATATTGGTTGGTTCACTTTTTTTTTTTCCTGTTCTAACTCACAAAATGTATACAGCTTTCTCAACAGTAGAGTTGACTATTCATGGGGAATGCTAACATTGCATTTACTTGAAACTAATGTCAAGCTCCAGCCTTTAGTTGATAAGACTGAATATTAGGACATGCTCCCAAACCTAAAACTAGTACAAACATTCAGCACTACAGAGTACTCTACAGAGACAAAGTTATAAAAATGAAAATTAGCATCCTTTTTGTAACTCCTAACTGATGCTTGAAATTTTCTTTGGCTCAAGGAAGCTTGTTTATTCTAAAAATATAGTAGGGAATATTTTGTACACTATCATTACCAACTTAGTTTTAGCCAGAAGTGAAACTAATGTCAAATCTAAGAAGAACATAATTAGTTACGTTGCAGTTTAGTATAATGGGTAAGTATTTAGGGTATGGAGTCAGATTGCCTGGGTTACAATCTTGGTTTCCCCAAGAGAATCTAAGCAAGTTACCTAACCTTTCTGAGCCTCAGTTTCTCATCTGTAAAATGGGAGAAATAATAATAACAATGTATGTTGTAAGGTAGGCTTGGTGTCATGAGAGGTAAATCTCAAAATGTCAGTGGCTAAACCAAATAAAAATCTTTTTAATTTCCCTATATTCTAAGGTATGTTCCAGGTTGAATGGCTCTCCTTCAAGTGGGCTCCTTCTATCTTGTGGCTCCATCTTCTTCGGTATGTCCATTCCAAAGACACCATTGTGTGTGTGTGTGTTTGTGTGTGTGTGTGTGTGTGTGTGTGTGGTGGGGGGAACCATCTGGATTTCAGCCAGATGGAAATAGGAAAGAGCTTGGCAGAGTGTGCATGAAAAGTGTAACTGGGCCTGGACTGAAAATAGGTGATGCACATCTATCCACATTACATTAGTCAAAAGTCAGTCAAAAAGCCATAGGTAATTACAAGATAGGCTGTGATATACACGGATGAAAAGAAATCAATTTTGGTGAATGCCCAGTCAATCCAGCCAGAATTATGTATCATAAGAGTTCTTACGGGATTTAAGTGGATGGAAACACGTGAGTCTCTTAGAATTATGCCTTGTAACACAGTCCATATAAACCAATTGTATATTGTTTATTACTACCTTTTCGTAATCTCAAGTGCTAGGTATTTTTTCATAATCAATTCTAAAACTCCAGTACTCTATTATACAAACAACCTGGCACATCAGACTCTACTCAGTTACCCCAGAAGAACAAGTTGCCTATATCATTGGAAATTCCGTTAGCAAGGTATTCACTTAGCAGCTTAGCTTTTAGTGCTTCAGAGAAGCCTATATACCCAGATCAATTAAAAAAAAAGATACAATATATTTAAATATTTATATGAAAAAATAAACAGAGTAATGTGAACCTTCAACTCAACAAAATGGAATCTCCAATGTTCCTGTTATCTCTGCTCCTAGATTCTAAATTATTTCCCTTAATTGATAGTACTTAGACACATCATTTATTGACATTTTATCAGAATGTCCTTGTGATTTAGGGAATATCTTTTATTTCCCTATTTTAAAATGAATTTTTGTAGTATTATTTGAGATTTTATTTTTCTATCATATTGCTCTATTTTGAGTCTAGCATTTTGAGGGCAGAGACTAAATATATATTTTAAGTATCTATATATGCCCAGTGTCTTGCATTATATTTGCAAGTGTCCTATTAGTGCTTATTTGATTCTTTGTGTCTCAGCTATACCATGGTAAAGAATAGACTTGAAATCTGAATACCATAGAGTAGCTTGTGGGACCGTGAACAAGTTGTTCTAAACCTCAATATCTTCCTCTAGAAGTGGAGGAAATGGTAGCATCTACCTGTGAAATTTGGAGTTGGTATAAAGTGAGAAATTAAACTGAGCAGGTAATAACCCCTCATAATATTCTCTACTATTTGTTTTAATGATAATGGCTAAGGGATCTTGGGATAGGTAGGGCAACAAATGAAAATAGGAAGCAAAGAGTCCATACTCGGATTAAATAACTCAAAAATGCCCGAAACCTCCAGACCTGATAAAAAAAGTTGCACAGCAGAATAAGGCAAACCATTACTTTTTATCTTTCTAGAGTCCTTACATTTCCAAGAGGCTAGATTACTGTGAAAGCATATTGGGAAACTGCTGGTGGGCAGGCCCAGACCTAGAAGATTTTAAAATAGTTAAACATGATTCATTGTCTTTTCCCTAGAGCGAGATGTACATCACAGACAGAAGAAAGACTTCTTTCCTTAACCTGCTTTTAAATAATCCCATGGAGTGAGGGTGGATATCAAGTGGTGTCTCCATTTGTGCTATTGTTTGGCAGAGGCAATAATTGTTTATCAGTATTATCTCAGGATAATCCATCGTACAAATCTTATATATGTAATCTGGCTGAATGATACAGTTCTCTGTCCTCCTGACCAGTCTCTATGGACAACCCGCAGCATGAGTGGCTATTAGGGGGCTGAGTGTTATTGAGTTGGCAGAAAGCATTAAAACCGGCATAAGAGTCCTTCACCCACTGGGGAGGGCTAAATAGATGAGCAAAGTTTCTCTAAGCTTCAAGACTCCTTAAACTTCAACATTAGAGACAGCCTTGAAAGGAATAATGCTTTATTCAAAGAAAGCTACCCTTTAAATAAAACATGATTTACTCCTCCTGTTTCCCTTGAGCGGTTTTTCCCCCATCACATAATTTTTGACCTTGTAAAATTTGGCAAAAGCATTGTGAGCAAGCCTATAACTTGATCTGGAGTAGACATAAAGTGACATGTGAAAGCTGGGTCTAAATACATGTCTGTTTGACAGGGCGTGTTTAGGATAGAAGGCTGCTGCTTTACCACAACTTATTTTTCAGGCATTTTCTGAGGCGAACTTGTCAAACTGACTGGAAAATCCACAAAGAAGCCTTTTGGCTAATTTAAAGAAAAGAAATGAAGCCATAAATAAGTCAAATAAAAGTAAATTTAGAAGTAATAAAACAAAGACACTGTTGCTTACTTGGGTCTATGGTTCTCTTGAAATATACAAAGCCTAGTTTCTACCTCATTCCTACAGCCCAGGTATAGAAGACAAGGGTCCTACACCAACTTATTTTAGGAATTCACAGGTATGCTTTTGTGTTGTAATTGCATACAATGGATGCGAGGAAGATGGGCAGGATTTGCCTCTGTTCTCCTGATGAACAGAGGAGTGCACCTGGCTCCCACCGAGCCTAATCACGCAGGTTTAAAGGGGTTTGGCTCAGGGCATCCCAACGTGACGGAAGAAGATGCTAGTTAAATGTTGGTCGTTTTCCATTCTCTTCAGGGGAAATCTCCCAGTGCCAATCTCTGAAAAGCTGTAAGACTCTGAAACAGATCTCCCCAGAAATCCCACCTGGAAGGACAGTAAGGTATGCTATTTATCTCTTCCTGAATCAGTTTTCTATGTGCTTCAGCCATCTAGGTATTGTACCTCTTGCTTCGTAGTGCCCTGATTTGTATGTTCGTCCTTTCTCCAACCCCTATCCAAATTGCCTCAAAGCATTCTGGAAGCACATATCATGTTAAAGTGTAAATAATATCCTCAGTGATTTCCCCTTGAATCTGTTTCCTTTGATGAATAAATGCCCAAGTAGTAGCAGTAGTATAAAAAATACGGAAAAGGGAAGGAAGAGATATATGGGATTGTTCTGGAGATGATATCCAACAGGACCCTTTTCAATAGCACCAATGCTTCCTCTATTTATCTTTCTTTCTTTCTTTCTTTCACACCTTAGCAAACAGATAATGAAACACATACACTCGAAGGAAGGGAAGAAGGGAGGAAGGGAGGGAGGGAGGGAGGCAGGCAGGCAGAAAGGCATAAAGCGACAGTTCTCCATCCTCCTGACCAGTCTGTCTATGGACAACCCACAGCATGAGTGGCTGGAAGGAAGGAAGGGAGGAAGGAAGGTTACTGGCTTTGCCTAAAGTGACATTTTTCCCTATAGGAAAGGTCTGATCTCAGACACACCATTTAACTGGTGATGTGGAGAATCCAAGGACAGCAACTACAATCAATTCCAAACCCTATATGTTAGAGAGAAAAAACCTGAAACTCAGGGAGGCAAGACCCAAAGTTAGGGGCAGTAGAACTATAATGAAGCTCCAGACTTCCTGACCTGCAGATGAATGTTCTCCCTATCACACGGTGCTTCATAATGCTTGATTTAAATCTGTAGGAGACACAGTGAAATCACAGAACTCGAGAGCTCAGGATCTTCAGTTGGGAAAGCCAGGGTTTGAAATTCGGGCCAGCCATTGGGCAGATTGCCCAATCTCTTTAAAGCCTTGCAACTCAAAAGGAGGTTCAGAAACCAGCCAATATCAGCATCACCTGGGCACTTGTTAGAACTATAGAATCCTAGGACCCGCCAAAAATCAACCTAACAATGTTCCCAGGTGGGTATGAATAACATTTGAGAAACACAAGTTAAAATCAGTGATTCTCATTCTTGGATGCTCATTAGAATCACCTGGGAAGCCTTAAACACTACTAAGGCCCTGGCCTCACCCGCAGAAGTGAACCATGCTTGGCCATCAGCTACAACCAATTTTAAGGAGTAATCAGGTGACTTTAATCATACAACTAATACGAAGGCACCAGAGGGCACTAGCAGAATGTCTCCTCTCCCCTTCCACAAGGCTCTTTTAAAGATTACAGGAGATAATGCTTTTAAAGCACATGGCACATACCTAGCATAGACTATGTACTCAAAAATGTTAATTTATTTCTCTTTGTTCTACTCTTTTTCTTCTTCCCTTTCTGCTTCTTCGGGTTCTTTATAATGTAATGCATAAGTTAAGCCAAGTTGCTTACCTTAGATATGTCAAGTTTTTTTTGCTTTGGTTTGGTTTTTGTTATTTATTTATTTTTTAAAAATTTTTGAATGAATAAAATTTAATGAGTTAACAGAATATGCCTGGCACTGTTTTATGCACTGATGAAACAAGAGTGAACCCTCACAGAACATAAACTCTGCAAACACAGGGACTCTTTTTTGCTATCCCTGTGACACGCCCAGCTCTGAGCCCAGTGACTGTTTCATTGTAGGAAATAAATGTGGAAATATATATCCCCCCAAACCAAAAAGTATATTGTAGTTACCTATTTGAGGAGGGTGACAAAACCAAAACCCAAAACACAAGCTTTTCATTTTAATATCTAGAATAAAGAAATAATTGAATGATGTCTTCTTAGTTCAGTTTTTAGTTTTAATTTTGAAAATCTGTTATGTCCTCCTTGAAACTAATGATAGATAATGATGTTGTTTCTTATTATACAATTATCAGAATAAATCATGTTCAAAGCATTTGTGTAAGAAACAAAAACAACTGGAGACCAAGCCCTCTGTGGTCAGACATTACTGACCTTGACGGCCACAGCGCCTGGGCCCAGTCGGACACCCGATCTCTGCCCTGTGGCTGTGAGGAGCACACAGTAAAGATACATGAAGGACTGCTTCAGGGCTGTTATGATCAAGGATTTATATTTTAATACATCCATGCTTTTGTCTGCCTAGAAGATTATCATTCATTGTTTCTAATTGCTCCATTTCTGGATCTGTTCGTAAATACACATTGTAAGAACATTTTCAAAAGATCTGTCACAGGATTCTCTATTTTTTGTGCTTTTAAATGTAAAAGCCCCCAAAAGAATTGGCAGCAACTCAAAATAATGATTATGTAAATGAAAAAAAAAGTCCTGCTTTTAACCAAAGAAAGGCAAAGCTATTTAGAGCAAGGATCACTCCTCCCCCTGGCAGCCTCCTTCTTCCTGGAGCGCCACTCTCTTCTCAGTTCTAGGGGATATTCCTTCCAGAGAACACCAACTGCAAAGTTGTAGTGGAGTTAAGGGCCAGTTACCAGTCTATACATTCACTCTTTATTGTAAAACTCAAACCATTCTCGGTTTTCTGGCAGTTGTGTCAGGCCAATGAATGTTTGTTTCCTCTTTTGTGGTTGAATATAAATTCTTGTTGGAAGAAGAGAAAAAAAAAAGCCCTCCAGATATTACAATAAACACACACAGAGGAAGAAAAAAAATTCTATCTCCGTTGAGTTTAACAATCAGCAGGGCCCAAATTACCTCTTATTAACATTTATTTTACAAAAGAGGCAGGGTATAATTTGGTGATAGATTCGGATTTGGAGAGGAGCTATAATCAGCCTCCTGAAGTGCTCTGCCTGAAGGACATGGCTGCTATTTTTTGTAATTATATTTTTCTGTCCCCACCCCCTTCCCCAGTCTGGAGAGTCTTTCACTCCTATCTCTGGTGCCTGCATTTCTCCCTCCCCCTTGCTCCCCTTCTCTCTTTCCTCCCCAGCCCCCTTCTCTCCCCTTTTCTCTTTAGGCCTCTTTTGAATAATGCAGCCTCTTTCAATAGCCCAGGCAGGCTTGAAGATTAGGAAGCCTGGTGGTGGAGATGGGGCCTGCTTAATAGGAGCAGGAGGCCTCTTCTGGCGAACAAGGTTCTGGGAACCAGTCCAACTGCAGAGAGCATGTGTTGGGAACCCTGAATAGGCAAGCAGCAGGCCGGCCCATATGTCAGCCTGTGCCACAAAGACTCTTCTGCATATCTACCATGACAAACAGGATTACCGAAGACAATTAATCTGGCACGCTTTATCAAAATCAAGCAGTGACCCCGACCTCTCCCCTCGGTGTGAGGCAGATGCCACGCTCCGATTCAATAGACCTTGAGTGTTCCCTTTTTCACTTCTGAAAAGAATCCAAGGTCTGAATAAGGCTGGCATGGACTAATTGCAACGACTGTGGACGGTGACAGTCTTAATCAAATAGGACGAATCTACCTTTTCTCTGACTTTTAATGGAGAGGCTAGCCACAGCTCCTTGTCTGCCACAGAAAGAAAAAGAAGTGCATCTATTTTACTTTTATCTGTCTTGTCTGGCGCCTGCAGCTTGCTGGGGGTGGGAGAAAGGGGCAGACATTCAGGTAGCTCCTATTCAGCTGTGCTTTGCCTCATATCTGGGAGTTCAATTCTAGTGGAAGAAAGTCTGCCAGTGGCTAAAGAACATAATGGTTTTTATGATTTAGTTAATTCTTTCCTGGTACTTTATGGGAGAGATAATGCAGCAGGAAAGTAGCAGGGCCTCCAGAATCGACAAAACCTCCAATTGTGACTCCATTGAGTCCATTCCTGTAATTTAATCCAATTTCTCTGTTTCGTCATCTGCACTTTTTTATGACCCTGATAAGAGGAACCTTGGATGGATGTCTGTTAAGAATATTTACCAAAGTGTTTAGATTGATTTAGAAATGAGAACGCTCTGTAGAAAGAAAATATTTGTAATTTTTCTTGAAGGTTTAAAGTTTTCAGAGAGACCAATGAGAAAAGGGAGGCGTTGGCTAGATCTTGTCCTACTAGGAAGAGGCTGTGGGTGAGTATGTAGGTCGGAATTGAACACAGGTGAAATTTAGGCTTTTTCTTATTGTTGTTAACCAATTCTTCTACCCATAAATAAGCCTAAATAGTCTGGGTGTAGAGGAACAGGGAGGAGACTAACTCTTATATTAGCCCATTCAACTTGGTGAGCCCTTGATTAGACATTTGGATAATGTCTCAGTTAAGAGTCCAGAAATCTTTCTATAAAAATAAATAGGAAGCTACTGCATGAAGTAATATAGCTTTTCTCAAAGAATCATGCTCAGGCAACCTGCATCATGATCACCTAGAGAACTCATTAAAAATACAGATTGGTAGAGTCCATGTGAGACCTAAGGACCCTCACTCCCTTAGTGTGGGCTTGTGTCGACCTTGGAACCATATTCCATAGGTGACTCTTATGCACTCCAACATGAGAATTGATGATGCAGTTGAAAGAGAGCGGGGGTGTCAGCCAGTAGACTTGGTTCTAGGTTTATTTCTAACTAAACTAGCTCTCTCATCTTGGCCAAGTCATTCTCTGCACTGCAGTTTCTTCAATAATTATGGCATTGGATGGATGTCTGTTAAGAATATTTACCAAAGTGCTAATATTTACCAAAGGGATCAAGATCTCCCTTGCCCAATTTAGCTTTAAAACAACTCGTTTCTCTGAATCTGATTTAAAGGAAATTCATTCCTTCCTGCCTTGGCAAATCTGACAAATAATATGTCTTTCTCAGCTCCCTTTTAATTGTATCATTTAGATACAGTGCAAGATTGTCAAAAAGGTACTAGAGTTCCAGGTTGTGTGATTCTGAGGACACAGATTAAATACATATGTTATAAGTATATATCTAATCATGTAAATACATAGTAAATAAATATTTATTTATAAATATTAAATGGAATGATATTATGAAGCTCAGTTATCAGGAGAAAGCAGTTTGTTGTTAAAGAATATGTGAGTAAATCAGAGCACTGGGAAGTCATGCTTGTATTTGATCAACTCAAAAAAATTGAAGATGTAAATTTTACTAAAAGGCACGGGAGTCTGGGTAGCAAAGAGTGTGGAAATTGTCCTTACCTGAATTGTTGTTACATTAGACCCACCTGAGATTTACTAAGTCAGGGTCGTTTTCGGTGTCTGACTCATTGTAGGTGCCTGGCTCTGGACCATACTGAAAAGTACAGAGATTGCCCTGCAGGAAGCTCTCTGCTGACATCATTTCAACCAGGGCTGGGAGAGGACTGCTGTCTATATGGGTGGTTACATAGAATCCTTATACTTACATATTAATTTTCCCTGGACACAGAATTCTTTCTTAAAACTATGAAAATCTGGCTTGTTCATCTATGTTGGAAATTATTTGCTATTAAATTAGTAATTAGTTTCAGGATTTATAAAGTCCAAGAGCAGTAAGATTGTCTTCAACTGATGTTAAGCATCTAATATAAGCAAAGCTCTTAAAATATAGAGAAGCATTTCTAGAAAAATGATGCATATGTGAAGTAAATAAGGGAATTAAGAATATTATTTGTACTGGCAAGAAAAATTGAGAAATTAGGCATTTAAAAAAAATAGCTTCCAATTTAGAAGGAAATAATATATATTTTATTTGTTTCTTGTATCCAATAACAAGATGTAAAACCAGATTCCTTTGACTCTCATGTGTATGTGTATATATATTATAATGTGTATGTATAATATATATTGTGTATATATAACATAATGTGTATATATAATATAATAATATGTATATATACATACATTTCAGACTCAAGAGAGGATTTGAGTGTAATCATAGGTATATAAGGCATAAGGTTCTTAGGCAATAAAAATTTGGTCAACAAGCACTTAACTAGACAGTTTTGGCCTCTAAAACTATTTTCCATTCCTGCTTTCCAGCTTTACTAAACAATCCTGGTATTTTAATGATATAAGGAGACCCTACTCTCCAGACCTAAGTGTACACACATGGATGGGGTGGTCATGTGCTAGTTATTAAAATGGTCCTGGGCAAAGCTAATTTGGTAGTGCTGTGGGACTGAGATAAAATGCAACCCTGTTCTCATTTTATGGGGAGAGTCTCGGGCTAGTGTTTTAGGCTGGCAAGTTCCAGATCTAGGGAATCACTCTATGGTGTCAGTAACTGTTATAAGCTTCCTGTCCTGGGGGAAAAATAGCTTACTGCTGATAAGAAAGAGGTGATTGTCCTTGATGTGCCAGCTGCCAGAGTCCCAGCTTGGTGGGGTCAGGTACACACTAACCCTTCAGTGCAACTCCTACAGTTGGACAACAGTGCAGGTGCTGGTGTTCTTCCCTCACAAATTGATGATCCTGCCCAGTCTGTTTCATTTCTTGTGAGTGTCTCAGCAGAAAACGCACCCGAGAATAAACCTAGACCCCTTGCAACATTCAGGAAACCTGAGTGTAACCCACGACCACCCGAACAATTGAACATTAGCCCCACCCTGTTTAACTTTCCCCTCTTGAATCCTTAAATGGTTAAAACACCACATGAATGCTGAGATAAACTCCTGCTGTGATAATTTACTGTCAGAAATATTGAGTGCACTTTAGTGGGACGGCAGTAGGAATGGTCTTCTCAAGTGCTGCAGTACAAAAGCTGGGACTATCAAGATTTTTTGGCAGGCTTTGCATTTTCCTTGTCATATTATATATTGCAGAAGTACAATTCAGGATCAGTACAAATCAGCTTAGAGGACAGGGGAAGCGGTGGGTTGCATCAGCAGCACCTGGGCTAAACAGAAGGTGGCAGCATTTTAACATTGCCGGGCACATGTACACAACGGCACATGCGCAGACGCCATTCCATGATCATTGGGTTATCGTCTGCATTCCTGACGTAGTGTTTACAGCTTCCTGCTTATGGCAACAAGGAAGCAGAACGCAGAGTGATGAGAGATTTATGTGGATATGATAGCACTGGACACTTCGAGGCTCCATTGGCAAAACATGCGGCAAATAGGAAACCAAGGGGTGAGCTGAAAATATCTATGGTACTGTCGGAAAGCTGCTTATTTTCCATTCCTTGTTAAAACTTCAACACGAAAGGTGTAAATGCATCAAAATTAAGCCTAGAAAGGAATAGGCAGTTTCAATGTTTTTCAGCTTCTAAAAAACTCTATGAAACAAATTTATAACTGGGAAAACCTTGTACTGTGAGTAAGAACATTGTGGTGCAGTATGGGCTCCGTTTCAAAACGGGCTGTGAATCCTTCCGTGTACTGTTGAAATCCCTCCCCTAACTCCCAGCTCCCCTACTGGCTAGCTTATGCCCGAGAAATCTCCGACCCTGTTTATTTTTTAACTGAAATAATAAGTGTACCTTCCTGATAGGGTTATAATGATTTGTGAGGTCATATATGTAAATCGTATTGCCCGGTTCATACTAGCTGCTCAGTAAATGCTATCTTTATAATCATTACTGTTATTGAGTTTTACTGTTTTCAAAAAATTGCATACAGTAGTTAATTTGATTCTTACAGCAATTCTGAGAATTATGCAAGAAAAGAGTTCTTACAATAAGGATAGTAAGTGCAGGCTAAGTGACCAGCCAAGCTGCAAGCCAGGTCATTTCATCAGGGGCTGTTTTCTCATTGGTTAAATGAAAAAACTGAGCAGGAGATAGATAACCATGAGGTTCTTTCCGGTTCTAATAGTTGCAACTCTGTCATTTAGTTTAATTTACAGCATAGTAAGCAGAGATCCAGAGGGCAATTAATTGCATTTTTATCTTAGTAATTTGCTACAAATGAAAACAATGACTGTTTGCTATGGGCACACAGAGCTCTTATGCCTGATGAAAAGTAAAAGAAATATTGGAACACAGGGGTCTTGTGAAACCCAACCAATGACAAAAATCAATTCAAAGTGTGAGCACTTCACAAAAGAAATACTGCTTAATTTTATACACAGCCCGGCACTTGACTGTATATTATAGTCAACTATACTCCCCATCTATTAGCTCCTTATCTGTGAGAGTGCTTCTCCTGAAATTAATCTGCCCTAAATTTATCATACATGTTCCAGAATGAGTGTGATTGTCAATAGCACTATTTAAAAGAATGACCTTCTAAGGGGAACAAGCAAACATTTGTGAAAGTCATTCAACTAACACTGCTTGCTAAGAAGTGGGGTGTTTTATTTATGGCTGTTGTTTTGATAAAATGTCTGAAACCTCACAATTGTCTCCTCTGAAAAACTGCCACGTTTAGGATTTTTTTTAACAATACTTTTGTACAATTACACCACACATGAGAAATCAGGCTTCATGTATGACCTCAGCTCTCATTAAGATCATTGTGAAAGTTTCATTGCATCACCCAGATGCATTTTAATTGTCACATCTAATGCAATGCTATAGTTGTATTTTACAGCTTAAAATTAAACCTTTTTTGGCAACATCTGCTAGAGTGCTAATAATTTAGGTGTGGAAAAATATCTGTCATTGTAAGATTGTCCGATTAGAAAATAAAATGGGTTTGGTGAGAAAGGCCCTTCTTTTTCAACAACTCTCCTACTCATGACAAAAATCCCTCCTCTCTTTTCAGTAGACCTTTGACATTTAAGAAGTATATGCCCTAAGATTTCTACAGATCCTGAAATTCATCACTACGGCAGAATCACGCATCTTATGGTGAGTCAATGATGACTAATGTAGCAGAGGCGTTTACTGGTCATTGAATATCAATGTGTTCCCTCCACTTTTTCCACTACCTTTAAGTTAGACTGGATGGTGTGAATACATTATCTGACAGATGGCTGTGATTGGAAGTGATATGTCTCTCTGATGGGTTGAATCACTAAAGAACTACATTGAAACTCTCTCGCTTTCTCTTTTGCTGTCATGGAGAAAGAGATCATGAAATCACAGGAGGGAAAGTAACTTAGATCTCTGAGTCACTGAAAATAAATTCCTTACAGAACCACTGACCCCACAATAAATACTATGTGAGTGAAAAATAAACTTTTATGCCTGTTACTGCTGCAAAGCTAGGCTATCGTGACTAATCCAACTACCATAATAAAATCTATCCTATGCCACATTTCATAATAAATAGCACAAATTCGTAAGCCTGTTTGTGAGAACGCTCTTGTGTGTCTACTGATGCCATTGTAACACATCAGTAATGTGGAGGGTAGCCAGGTTTCTACCAGATCTGATTCCATGTATGGAGAAAATTTTGATGTGATTTGGCTTCATGTTCCACCCAAATCTCATCTTGAATTGTAATCCTCATGTGTCAAGGGAGGGACCTGGTGGGAGGTGATTGGATCATACGGGTTGTTTCCCCTTGCTGTGCTCCTGTTAGTGAGTTCTCCTGAGATCTAATGGTTTAAAAGTGTGTGGAAGTTCCCCCACCACCCCCTGCTGCTACGTAAGATATACTTTTCTTCTCTTTGCCTTCTGCCATGATTGTAAGTTTCCTGAGGCCTCCCCAGCCATGTAGAACTGTGTGTCCATTAAACCTCTTTTCTTTATGAATTACCTAGTCTCAGGTAGTTCATTATAGCAGTGTGAAAACAAGACTAATACAATTTGGACAATAAATTTCAACTCTATATGTGTTTTGCAATACATGATTTAAACCCACTTTCTATTACATTTCTCCCAGAGTCATTGAGAATCACTGGTACAGATTATCTGGAGGATTATTACTTTAAATTCAGAGGGAGAGAGAAAAAAAAAAAAAACAGCCCTGAGAAGTGGGAAACTGGCAGTCAACAAAGCTTATTCATTTCTAAGTAAATGTTTTACATCAGACTTATTGTACCTACATATTCAGAAAACTTTTTCTGAATCATTGTGAATCTATTTCTTAGACTTCAACTAATGCCTATTTGTGCTTGGAACATATCTTGCTTATAATTCTAACCCAGATATAATCTAATAATAGATTATATATCAGAAGCATTGGATTATCTGTTCTTTCATTTCTTCCTTCCTATCACTCAGGGTCCAATCAAGGGACAAAAAATATACCTATTACTTAAACAGAAATTACTCAATGCAAGGATTGTTCACTGAGTATAAAATGGTTTAATAAAGAACTCAAAAGACCAGAAAAGAATACTAAGGTGTAACGGAGATAGTATTGCAGGACAAAGCCTCCATTTCTAGGGCTACAAAAAGAAAGGAAAAGTCTGGAATTATAACAACATGGAAGCTTAGAGGAGAAGCCCTGTGGAGTAGAAACTCAGCCTTCTGAGGAGAAGGAGCTGCTCATCTTGTGCTGGTGTCTCTGAGCTCAGAGGAAGAGCTCCCAGGACTGGGACCCGGCCTTTTCCACTTCTGAGAAGGAGGCACTGGCTGGCCGTACTGCTAGAGAGGGAGGGTCGGTCTACAAGTGTAAAAAAATGTGCAGTCTTGATTCAGCTGCTGTTACAGTCAGGACCTGCTTTACTATTGAGGGAAAGAATCATAGGTGGGCTGACACTCACAGAAACAGGATACAGGAAAGAAGAAGCATAGAGCCTGCAGGAAACAGACATGACACAGCAAGCCTCTTCTTCTTCCTCCAGCAGTGTAGACAACCCTAGTGCCTCCTACTGAAAAAGTCTAACAGGAATCCAGATGCCCAAATGGAAAAGTGGTTTTCATAATTCTCATTATCACAAAACAGAGTATAGAAGAGTAGATTTGGTGCCAAGAAACTATCACTAAAAGTTAGCAGATATTTTTCTTTAAAATTAATTTCCTGGTTTACTTTGGAAATGACTGTCTCAGTAATTGAAAAGAATTAAGTGATTCTGACAATTATGTTTCCTTGCTCACCCATAGACCGGCCATATTAAAATTTTGCTAAATGCTTTACTTTAATTTGATTTTCTCTGTGCAGTAAAAATAGTGCTAGTATTGAAAATAATAAATCCTGGCCTAAGAGTAAGAAAATCTAAGTTTTAATCCTCCATGTACTATTTATGTGATCACTGGAAAACTATATAACATGCCTGAGATTTAATTACTTCTTGAGGATGTTATTGAATTATAAAAATTTAACATAAAATAATAATTTCCATTTGGTACTCTGACAGCCATGAAAATTCACCTTATAGACCACCAACTACAGCTGTTATGTGCTGAATTCCATCACAGCATTTGCACTGAGGCCACACTTTCCCTGGGCTGCCTCAGGCTACAGACAGCATGCAACTAGCACACTGATGTTGGCCTGTTCCCAGGAGACAGGAGACTCCTGTGATAGCCTACTTGGTCCCAGCAACTCCCCAACAACCTGATTGGATTTTCTGTAGAATACATGGCATTCTAGGACACTCGTACACAACCTTTTTTTGCTTTCTCCTTCACCCGGGGTGAGGCTTGCATGGTGGTCTGACGTCTCTCTCAAACTTCCATGGCTTCCTCTTCATTTTGTCTCTCCGGCTTTTCCCTAATAAGGTCCTTGCATGTCTCATCCTATCTTGGAACCTGCTTTATAACATGGTTTGTGTTTCTTAAAATGCGATTTATGAACCCCTTTGGCCAGAATCATCTTGAGTTACCTTTTGAGATGCACCTCTCCAGGACCTATGTGAGAGGCCCCCAGTTAGGATTTTCTGAGGCTGGGGAAAGCTTTCTGAATTTTTAATTAGTTCTCCAGGTTATTATTGTTAATATTAAATGTACAGCTCCACTGTCACATGAACATATCTTTCAACATTTTAATGATTTCACTCCACCCTTTTCTTGCTTGTGTAGTTTCTGACAAGAAGTCAGCTGTAATTCCTATCCCTTTCCCCTTTAGTCTGATTTTCTTTCCCTATGGCTTCTTTGTCTTTTTTTTTTTTTTTTTTGCATGTGGTTTTGTTGTTGTTTTTCACTTAGAACATGATATAGCTAGGTGTATAGATTTTTTGCTGTTATTTAGTATATACCTGTTTTTTGTTTTCTAAGCTTGCTGGATCTGTGGTTTGGAGATAGTCATTAACTTTGGAAAATCCTTGGCCAATATTTCTTTTATTTTTTTTTTTTTGAAACCAACTCTTGCTCTGTCACCCAGGCTGGAGTGCAGTGTCATGATCTTGACTCACTGCAACCTCCACCTCCTGGGTTCAAGCTCTTCTTGTGCCTCAGCCTCCCAAGTAGCTGGAATTACAGGCATGTGCCACCATGCCTACTAATTTTTGTATATTTAGTAGAGATGGGGTTTTATCATGTTGGCCAGGCTGGTCTCGAACTCCTGACCTCAAGTGATCCACCCACCTCAGCATCCCAAAGTGCTGGGATTACAGCATGAGCCACCATGCCCGGCCACAATTGTTATTTCAAATTTTTATTCTGCTCCATTCTTTTTCTCTTCTCCGTCTTCTGTTATTGCAATTATGTGTATGTTGCAGCTTTTGAAATAGTCCCAAAGATCTTGGATGTCACTTATCACCAACCTCATTGTTTCTTTTCTCACCTATATTGAGTCTACTGATAAGCCCATTAGAGGCATTCTTCCTTTCAGTCACAGTGTTTTGTGACTGTTTCCTTTTGATTTTTGAGTATCTGCTTACATTACCCATCTGTTCTTTCTTTTTGACCACTTTTTCCGCCAAAGCCTTTAACATATCATAATTATTTTTAAATTCTCAGTCTAATTTCAAAAATCTGTATCCTATCTGAGTGATGATGATTACTTTGTCTCTTCAGATTCTGTTTTTTTTTCCCCCACCTTTTGGCATGTCTTATAATTTCACATCAAAAGCTGGATATGTTTTATTTTTCATTTTTCTCTTTTTCTTTTTTCCTTTTTTTTTTTTTTTTTTTTTTAAGATGGAGTCTCACTCTGTCACCCTGGCTGGAGTGCAGTGGCACAATCTTGGCTGACAGCAGCCTCTGCCTCCCAGGTTCAAGTGATTCTTGTACTTCCACCTCCTGAGTAGCTGGGATTACAGGTGCCCACCACCATGCCTGGCTAATTTTTGTATTTTTAGTAGAGACGGGGTTTCACCATGTTGGCCAGGCTGGTCTCAAAGTCCTGACCTCAGGTGATCCGCCCGCCTCAGCCTCCCAAAGTGCTGCGATTACAGGTGTGAGCCACTGCACCCAGCCAAAAGCTGGATATGTTTTATCAAGTCATAGGAACTAAATAAATAAGCTTTTAGTATAAGAATTTATGTTAATCTGGTTATGAGTTATGCTGTGTTCAGTGTTGCTGTAGCTATAGGTGCCAGAGTCTTCAAGTTCCCCCAGTGTCATTTTTTGGCCACCCGTCTTTATTTTGAGCTTGCCTAAGTGCTCCTCCACAGAGAGAGCATGTGTCTTACAGCTTTTTCAGTTGTGATCCATTTTATTATACTGAAATCCTGTTGGTGTATTGTTAAGTCATGGAGAAGGGGGTGTATTCTATAATCTTGGGGCTAAATCTCTAACTTTTCGTGAGCCTGTGTCTCAGGGCTGTGACCTTCACAAATGTTTGTATTCCTCTGCCTCTTAACTACCTTGCCTAGCTGCAGCATTTTCCAGTGTTTTTAATCTTTTTCTTTAAATTACTGACCTATTGACTTGGTTTTGATTTATTTTCTTTTTTGTTTTTTTGTTCATTAGCTGAGACAAGAAGGTTGGAGGGGACTGGAGTATAAGAAATTTTTCCCCCACGTGGGATAACATTCCAGCAAAATCCTTTTTTCTTCACAATAGGCTTTTGTTATGGAGAAGACTCTGGGTGTATTTCACAATGGTTACTTTTCCTCTTACTTGCCAGAGTCACAAGGGGATGTTTCATATATCTTCCTGAAGATAAAGCTCATGCAAATATAGACCACCTACAAAACTACAGCACCCAGTCTATCTTAACATTTTATCAAATAATTTAGCAATTTATCAAAGTTACCATTTAAGTATTTATACAAATTTATGCTCCAGCTGCTTCTGCTCCAGGTACACAGATCTCAGATGTCTCTCTGGATCTCTCTCTCTCCTTTATTTCAGGGTAGTGGTTCTCCAATGGGCTTGAGAAAAAGTAATTGATTTTCAATTTGTCCAGCTTTTTCTTGTTTTAAAGATGAGAGAGATGACTAATAGGATCTTTACATATCAGAGATGAAACCAGAGATTACAACCACATCCCTGATTTCACAAATAAACAAATATGGATTGAGTATCTGCAACATAAAAAAAATCTGTAAGTGATAGACTCTATCTCTGCCTTCAACTTCATAGGAAATATGAGACACTCATGACTCTCAAATAGCTCTGACTATCCTGTATCCTCAGATCCAAAATCTACTTTTCCCACTAGCTCCCTGGTCTGATGACCTTGGAGGATAGAACATCAAAACTCACATGAAGACAAATCTCTGACATAAAGAGAGCACTTGTTTTGAAGACATGAGCTTATCTAGCCCTAGAGAAGTTTGAGGGCTGGGCTTTTTCTTATCTGAGATATGGCTTCTAAAACGTTCACCAGCATTCTGTGTAAATCTTAGCATGAAATTTATTACATATGCATTTCTATCTTCCCACCAGTAAGTTCCTTGAGGAAAGGAACTCACTTTCTTTACATGTTTATCTTCAGAATATAGAATATGCTCTCAAATAAAAGCAGCTCCATAAGTATTCAGAGAATAAATAAATCCCAATATACTGTTATCAGAAAGTTTCTATTTATAAATTACTAAATACTGTTTGACCACATTTCTGGGACTAGTAGCTGTTTTTAATGAAAATTCAAGAATAAGATAAATTCCAGGCAAGTAGCCTCCATAATTTAATGTCAATATTAATAATTTAAAATGTGTGGGATATGAAATAATGATGATCAGTATCCACATCCTAACTAGAAATTTCTATTTAAATTAAGGAATCTTCTTATCTCCTTAAGATCATAGTTGTCAGAAATTTTTAATTGTCTTATTCTTCTTGGTACTCATATTTGATTATGCAGATCTAACATATCTGTCATTCAATTATTAATTCTGTCTTCAATTAAGCATAGATTTATTGAGCCTAAATTAATAGGCAGAATTTTTCTGGTTGCTGGTGATAAATTAAGGAAAAAAAATATTGTCTCTTGCTTTTAAGTAACTCCAATAGTTTAGGTACAAGGAGGCTACAGATGGGAGGGTCACCTAAGATAGAAAAAGATATCACAGAAATAGCATCCTAGGAGAGGTGATGTTCATTGACATTTTGGAAAGTGTAAATATTATTGAAGGAAAACATACATACCTAAAAGTGCACAAATAATACTCGCACAGTTCAGTGAATGTATGTAGCTGCCGGGCCCGACTTGCAGACCCTGACGGAGCGACAGATGAATAAATGCACTCAGACACAGGTTTCCAGTGAAAGAGCAGGCTAGGAGACTGGACCACTCACAGAAAGAGTTGTAGCAGCCGTGGCCCTGACAAGCCAGCACTGTGGGCATTTATTCGGTACAGATTTAATGACAAAGGCCTTGAGTCAACACACTTGTGGGTAATTAACATGGTTGCTACCCCCACCCCTGAAGAGAGTAGTCCTGCATGTGGATGATCAAAGGCCACGTTCAGAGGCCTAAGTAGACTAACTTATCTAGATGAGTTTCTTTACACTTCCTTGTTATCTAAACTAAGCTTTCAAGCACTGGATAAGACAATCTGGCTGCCTTCAGCCAAATCGTTTTCTAAAGCCTTTGTAAAACCTCCTGGCCTTCCAAGAAGGTTTGCATCTTTCTACAATTTTTCCCACCACCCTGACCAATCTCCTCCGTCTCCCCCTTTTCTGTTTTTAGCATCAGGTTTTGTTGATTGAAGAATACAGATGTGTGCAGCAACAGGTTTGTTAGGCACGGCAGTTATAACTCATACTCCAGCTTTGCATCCTAGAATTAGTAAATAATGTAAGACAAACATGAGAATAATTAGCAACAGTCTTTTCCAATCAAGGAGTGACTCCCCCCAGGAGTGGGGGTCTATCCAGGAGAGATGATCTCCTACACCCTTCCATATGGCTGATTGTTGGGCATGTAGATCTATGGTGTTTAGGGATTTTAGAATTTTAGTTTTAAGTGGCTTTATGTCTGCTGTTAAATTGTCATGAAAGGTTCCCCAGAGGTGTTGTTTCACCTCATCTGAACTATGTATTGATTGATTTCGTGGTAGAGAAGTGACACAGAAATGTTTTTGTTCCCAGTTGCAGTTTAATTGCTGTCAGAATACCAGTGCATCTTGTTGCTCCCCCACATATTCCAAGGCAGCCTTGAGGGCTTGCAGACATGCAAGAATCTTTTGATCTATATCCTGCTGTAAGAGAAGTTCATTAGACACATTTTTGGCCAAATATCTACAAAAGTAGCTGTTTGTACTGATTCAGTAATAGATGCTACAGCAACACTAGCAGTTGCTAGGATGACTGTGGCTGAGACTATAAAGGCTAAAAGTATAACTATAAGTCTTTTGTGTCTCATTTGGGACAGGGCATGTTCCAAGATGGCAAGGGCAGAGGAACGTTGCCAATCACGTGTTAAATTGACTGGTAGGAAAGGCTCAGATTGTCTTCTCAACACCATGACACTAGTAATATTTAAATTAGATATATTATAATTAGAGATACAAGAAGCAAACCAAGCCTGTCCCTACACTTGGGTCACAAACATGGAGTTTTGGGGTGTAATAGAAATATTGGTTCCCATAAGGAAAACATAAGGATGGGTAGTACAAATCAGGCACTGATCAGTTTGATTATGAAAAAAAGTTCATTAGTATAACTGTGATTGGAATTATGATATGTCTCATGCCAGGTGTTAAGAGGGGTGCTAAGATATCCCAGGTACCATAAAGCTTCTTGAGGTAGCATGGACTCTACTTGGGGTCTGGGATATCTCATCTCCCTATTGGCCCAAATAATAAGAGAACAGGACGTGGCTATGAAACTGTCACTGATGCCACGATAGACATGGACATCAGTACAATTGCCCTGAAAATGGCTGTAGGGGCTCCAGTCAAAGATGTTATAGTTGTCTAACTGGAGGCTATGGGCCTGTTCCCTGTGACAGACCTCCCAGCTAAACTGGAATCCACTACCTTCTTGGCTTTGTTTTTTAGCACAGGGAGAAATGTTTGGGAAAGTGGCATTGATTGCATTGCCTGGTTTGAGGCTGCCTACAACTAAGACTGTTAAGGGATTTCCTTTGCCATGATGTAGCCATAATTGTGTTTGGGCAGGTACACAGTAAGGGTTAGAACTTTTATAACTTACACACAGTGGGAGGATAGTGGAGTGACATGTAGTGTTACCTGGCACCTTAGTCCAATGTGTACCATTAATGAGGAACCCTACTGGGGGTAAATCTATCCCTCCTAGCCAAGTAGTTACATTATTAGAGGCTGGGAAGGGGGTGTCTGCCCAGGTGACAGGGCAAAAGAAAGGTGGATCTAAGATATGAGCCCAATAGAGTATAGCAGGTACAGGTTGCAGACAAAGCAAGAGCATAAAAAGGATCAATACTGTATGTGAGTTGCAATGTACAATAGAGAGCATAGCAGGGAACAGATTATCTGGAGTGAATGGTGTTGGTGTCTGTGTCTGGAGCAGGATTCGCTCAGCCTTCTGAGTTGTCCTCTTTAGCATCCCCCGTGTAATGTCCGGGACTTGTGTCGTCCGAGGAAGCTGCATTGTCTGGGGCTGCAGATCCTGTAGGGTCCTTTTCTTCATTTCTGGTACTGGGTTGAGTCCCAGCCACACCATGGTATGGTTTGATACGTTGTGCTGGAATTCAAAGAGGACCTGAGGGGGTGTGAACACAAGCATATCCTCTTTCCTACATTAACAATTCATTTGGACAATACCATACATTACTGTTTACATCTTTCCATAAAACTGCAGGTTTTATGTCTTGAGACATTTTAGCAAAGTGCTTTTCTACAGCTGATTGAAATTTATCATATAAATTTTAAAAATTTGAGGGTAAATAAGGCTTGTGCTAGTAGTGTTGCAGGGTCCTTACTCATATTCCCCCTTTTTTGTTTTCTGAGCATATTTTTAAGGGTGGAGTGGGTACATTTGATTATGGCCTATCCTTGGGGGTTATACGAGATGCCTATGGAGTGATGGATGTTTCCCATGTGACAAAATTGTTGAAATTGTGAGCAGGCATAAGCCAGACCATTATCAGTTTTAATTTTTGTGAGCTGCCCCATAAATGCAAAAGCTGAAAGAAGATGTTTAATGACATATTGGGTGGACTCTCCAGGAAGAGCATGAGCGCTAATTAAATGAGAATTGGTATCAGCTGATACATGTACATATTTAAGTTTTCTAAATTCAGGGATGTGTGTAACATCTGTTTGCCATAACTGATTAGCTTTTAGTCCTCTAGGGTTAACACCTGTTGAAGGAGGGGACATGCCTGTGAGCTGGCAATCTGGGCATTGTAGGATAATTTGTTTAGCTAGTCTCTGGGTAAGTTGAAATTGTTTAGATACGTTTTTCCAGTTTGGGTGGAAAAATTGATGCGATTGGTTGGCTTGGTCAAGCAGTGATGTAGGTCTGCTTGATCATTGCCGTAAGCCAATGTGCCTGGCAGTGAGCTGTGGGCCCAAATGTGAGTAATAAAAATAGGATATGTACGTTGATCTAGCAATTGCTGAAGTCGGAGAAAAAGTGCACACAGGGTGGGCTCTAGACTGGACTTAATGAGGGCTGTCTCAAGGTTTTGTAATAAATAAACAGAGTAAGCAGAATGACTAACAATATTGATGGGCTGAGCAGAAAAAGTTCTCAAGGCCAATATTAAGGCTCCAGCCTCAGCTCTCTGAGTGGTAGTAAATCCAGAATGAGTGAGGGAATTATGTGGTCTCCACCAAACAGCCACTTTTCCATGTTTACCAGAGCCATCAGTAAACAGAGTTAAAGCTTTAGGTATGGGGGAGTGAACTATTTTTGTAGGTAAAATCACAGGAGTACGAGATAAGAACTGAAGGAGTTTGTCAGCAAGAAGGGCATGCTCTATATGGCCTGTATAATCACAGAGTGCTATCTGCAGGTCTATAGATAAGGGCAATACTGCTTTGAATTGTTTTTACTCAAGAGGAATTTTTGTGACATCATGGTCATAACCTAGCAATAGATTGTATTGTCTGCGGCCTGAATAGATGACTTTGCTAACTAACTGGATAGAGGGAGAGAGTGTTCTAGTCCTGGTATGTGAGCAAAAAACCCATTCTAGGAAGCGCAGCCCTGGGGTCATCTGTCTTATTCATCCTGTAGGAGAGTGTTTAGTGGGAGAAACAAACAATTGAACTGAATACCATGGATCTCTATGATCTAGTTGCCTTTGAGAAATAGCTTGCTCTATCTTTTCAATTTCCCTTTGTGCTGAAGGAGTTAAATACCTAGGAGAGTCTAGGGCAGCAGTGCCTTTTGAGATAGAAAACAGATTTTATTACTTATCAGTAGTTATGCCTAAGGTAGGGCAAAGCTAGTAAATCCTGCCTAGTAATTTCTGATAATCATTTAAGGTGTGTAAGTTGCTAGTATTTAATTTAACCTTTTGAGATCTTGCTGACTGAGAAGTTAGTATGTACTCAACATATTTCCAAGGAGAGGACATTTGTACTTTTTCAGATGCTATGATTAAATCTTTTAACTGTGTATTCTTTACAACAGAGGCATGTAACCTTAAAAATACTGGCTCTGTTGGGGCTGCTAGTAAAATATCCATAAAATGAATAATCTTGCAATTAGGAATTTTTTTTCTACTGGGAAGCAAAGCTTGATTTACATGATACTGACACATGGTAGGACTATTTAGCATACCTTGAGGAAGCACTTTCGAGTGAAATCAGCAAACTGACCTTTCGTCATTGATTGCTGGTATTGTAAACGCAAATTTTTCTCTGTCCTGTTCTGTAAGGGGAATAGTATATAAGCAGTCTTTTAAGTCAATAACAATTATAGGCCAATATGGAAGAATTGCTGTGGGGAGGGGAGCCCCTGCTGAAGGGGCCCCATAGGTTGCAAATTAGCATTGATAGCATGTAAGATATGTGAAAGTCTCCTTTTACCAGACTTTTTGGGAATGACAAAAATGGTTTCACATAGCTGGCTTTTAATTGCTCCTCAACTAACTCATGGGCCCTTTGTAATTTCTCTCCCTTTAAAGGCCACTGTTCTACCCAAATTAGATCTTGAAAGAGCTGTGTCAGGGGTAGGGGAGGGATAATAACAGTGGCCATTATTAGAAAGGGGTCTGCAAAGTGACCCCCCCCAATTGGGCTAATAGGTCCCATCACCAAAGATTAACAAGGATGGGCATGATTAGAGGCTATATAACTGCCTTTCTTCCCTCTGAATTAGAACAGGTTAGGGGGCATGCGCTCTGCTTGGCTGTGTGAGCTTCCCCGATGCTGACAATTTTTTGTTTCTGAGTGACTCAAGGCCAAGTTTCTGGCCAGTTTTGATCACTGATGATTGAACTCTCCACCCCTGTGTCCAATAAGGCAGTAAAATTTTCATTTCCAATTTTTAAGGTAATCGTAGGTCTCTGGTCAGTGATTAATTGGTTCCAATATACTTTTGTGGCTCCTGTGCTTCCAAAACTTCCCTTTCACCTTTCCTCTCCATGGGCACTGGGGACTCAGTATGGTAAAAGTAGTAACTGAGCTATCTTTGATCCAGGGGGAAGAATATGCAGACCTTTGCATTCCATCATAACCAATATCTCAACTTGATAGTCACTATCAGTTACCCCAGTGAGCACATTAATTCCTTTACTGGATAGGCTTGATCATCCTAGGACCAATCCCACTGTTCCCAGAGGCAGTGGGCCCCAGATCCCCGTTGCAACCCTTTTAGGGTCTTCTCCTCCTTTTACCACTAATTCGTTGGGGCAGAGTAAGTCCAGTCCTGTGGCCCCAGTGGTGGCTTCTCTGAGAGAGAGGACTGTGGGCTTTCCATCTGACCAAGGAAAGCCGCTGGCATTGCCCCAGTTTGAAGCGGGGCCTGGGGCCAGCCCCTCATGAAGTTTCCTGCCCAGTTACTTATGCGGTTGCCATTTTTATCAAATTTGGACCTGCATTGATTTGCCCAATGTTTCCGCTTTTTACATTGGGGGCATATAGAAGGGGGTTCTTTTCCTGAATTACCTTGGTCTCTATTATTGGGGCATTCCCTCTTCACATGACCTGGCTCTCTGCATAGAAAACAGTTTCACTCTGCATAGAAAACTTTTTCACTTTAGGAGGCCTTAATGCCACAGTCAATATTTTGGCTTTGTGTGTTTCAGTCCTCACCAGTTAGTGCTCATATAAGTTCCCCAACTGTGGCTCTCTCTCCTCTGATTGCCTGCATTGCTCGTTGGCAATCCACATTAGCATTTTCATAAGCCAATTACAACAATAAGATATCAGCAGCCTGGGCATGGCTAATTTTTTCTTTTACTTGCCTGGGTTAACCGATTGATAAATTCAACAAATGGCTATTGAGGCCCTTGTTGAACATTTACAAAGGATCCCTGTTGAACTCTGCTTTCGGGAATTCAGTCCCAAGCCCTGAGAGCACACAAAGGCACTTGCGCATAGGCCTGGGGATCAAAATTTAGTTGTTGTTTTACATAGGCATGGGGACCCCTCCCCTGGAGCATGGCAGCTGTTATGTCTTGCCTGGCCAATTGATTCTGGTTGGCTTGTTCCCACAACTCATCATATTCTGCCCTCCAGAGGAGGTATTGGCTGAGCTCCAAAGTTGTTTTAGCTAGCACTGACCAGTCCCATGGGGTCATACAGAAGTTGTCTGCCAAATCTTCCATAATTCCTTTCATAAATGGGCTAGAGGCTCCTTTTCTTTAATGCTTTTTCTTAGCTCTTCATAAGCTTTAAAAGAAATGGGTTCATGTACCTGATTGCCCTGTCGATCTTGCATTACCAGACAGGCTAAGAAATCCCCTTCTAATGCCGCTTATCTAAGACAAGGTCCCATAACTGTAGAATATCCTGTGCCTTTTCCCAATTTATTGGAGGAGGGGGCTTAGGCAAAACCTCCATTTCCTCTTTGTTATTTTGGCCTGGTGATAGCAGGGCTGAGGGATAAGGAGGTAGTAAGGTAGGTGACGGTTTCTCCTCTCACCGCTTTGTAGGCTCTTCAGTGTATAACGGGGCCAGAGCCACCCTAACTAAAGCCCATAATGTTAGAGATATTACTGGGACACGTTGCCCTTGCACATGATGTTGTTTAAGATTTCTCCCCACTTGTTCCCTGAACTCTACGTCTAGGGTACCTTCTTCCGGGAACCACAGGTTATGGAAAACAACAGTTTGCATTAGGTCCCTTAATTGAGCCTGTGAAACTGAGGCTCCACTAGCTTTAAGCAGCTGTTTCAATACTTTGATATACTGCTTCTGTTGTGCTAGTAACTATTGTCCCATGATCAAACTCTAGCCTGAAAAATTCACTCGAACTTGGAAATCTCAAGTGGGCGCCAATGACTTACTGACTGCAGTCTCTTCACCTTCATTTTTGAGGGTTCCTTCGTGATCTGTTGCAGTGTTCCTCACACGGGGCACCACCTGCCGGGTCTGACCTGTAGACCCTCACCGAGTGACAGGTGAATAAATGCACTCAGACACAGGTTTCCAGTGAAAGAGCAGGCTAGGGGACTGGGCCGCTCACAGAAAGAGTTGTAGCAGCCGTGGCCCTGACAAGCCAGCACTGTGGGCATTTATTCGGTACAGATTTAATGACAAAGGCCTTGAGTCAGCACACTTGTGGGTAATTAACATGGTTGCTACCCCCACCCCTGAGGAGAGTAGTCCTGCATGCAGATGATCAAAGGCCACGTTCAGAGGCCTAAGTAGACTAACTTATCTAGATGAGTTTCTTCACACCCCCTTGTTATCTAAACTAAGCTTTCAGGCACTGGATAAGAGAATCAGGCTGCCTTCAGCCAAATCCTTTTCCAAAGCTTTTGTAAAACCTCCTGGCCTTCCAAGAAGGTTTGCATCTTTCTACAGTTTTTCTCACCACCCCGACTGATCTCCTACATGTAGCAAAGTGAAAACCAGTAGAGCTGGCACATACAGTGAAAACCAAAATGTAACTATAGCTGTACAAACACCTGCCTACCCTTTCCAATCACTTTCTTTCTCAAATTCACCATTATTCTGGTTTCTAACACCATAGATTAATTTTGTCTATTTTGAACTTTATATAAATGAAATAATATAATTTTTTTAAGGAAAGTCTATACAGGTATAAGATAGGAAAACAAGAATGAGAAATGCCAAGCAGAGGGATAGGTCTGAACAGAGGCCTAGGGGTTAGAAACCCATTCCATCAAATGGTTTCATTTCAGCTCTGTGCCTGCTTTGGGTGTCTCCCTACATTTGCAAGCCAAGGTACTTATTTGTAGATAACTCTCTGCTCTGTCACTCATTGTCTTTGGAAACTTCTCTCTTAAAATGGAATTGAGGTGATTTTTTTTCCCTTCTTTTCCCTATTTGCCTTTTATATACATTGTTTTTATTTTATAACATTAGTGTTTCCCATCTGTATTAGTCAGGGTTCTCTAGAGGGACAGAACTAATGGAATATATATATATACACACACACATAAATATGTGTATACACACACACACACACACACTCACACATATATATATATATATATAAAAGGGAGTTTATTAAGTATTAACTCACTTGATGACAAGGTCCCACAATAGGCCATCTGCAGGCTGAGGAGCAAGGACAGCCAGTCTGAGTTCCAAAAATGAAGAACTTCAAGTCCGATGTTCGAGGGCAGGGAGCATCCAGCATAGGTGAAAGATGTAGGCTGGGAGGCTAGACCAGTCTCTCTTTTCACATTTTTCTGCCTGCCTATATTCTAGCCATGCTGGCAGATTATTAGATTGCTCCCACCCATGCTGAGACCAGCTCAGTCAGGGAGACCCTAATCCAGCGGTGCTAGAGGAATTAAAGACACACACACAGAAATATAGAGATGTGAAGTGGGAAATCAGGGGTCTCACAGCCTTCAGACCTGAGAGCCACGAACAGAGATTAACCCACGTATTTATTAACAGCAAGCCATTCATTAGCATTGTTTCTATAGATATTAGATTCAAAGTGTCCCTTATGGGAATAAAGGGATGGGCTGAAATAAAGGGATGGGTTGGGCTAGTTATCTGCAGCAGGAGCATGTCCTTAAGGCACAGATCGCTCATGCTACTGTTTGTGGTTTAAGAACGCCTTTAAGCAGTTTTCCGCCCTGGGTGGGCCAGGTGTTCCTTGCCCTCATTCTGGTAAACCCACAACCTTCCAGCATGGGTGTCATGGCCATCATGAACATGTCACAGTGCTGTAGAGATTTTGTTTATGGCCAGTTTTGGGAACAGTTTATGGCCAGATTTTGGGGGGCCTGTTCCCAACACACCCAGATTAAGTGTGGGACTCCCTTTCCCAGCCCACTGACTCAAATGTTAATCTCCTTTGGCAACACCTTCACAGACACACCCGGGATCAATACTTTGTATCCTTCCATTCAATCAAGTTGACACTCAATATTAATCATCACAAGTCCACCTCTTGTCAACTTGAATCCATACATATCTCCTGAGATCATACATAATCTTCAAATAAAGACAATAATAGAGTCATAATTATGCCTAATATAATGCAACCTTTGTACAACCGAAACACACCAATCCCTAACCCAAATACTATTACATAAAGTTAACAATACTTAAATGCTGATATGAAGTCAATAAATCTTACGTCACATGATAAATGAAAAGGAAAGAAAATGAAGATTTTTTTTAGTACAAATGTATGCATGCACACATGTGTTTTTAACAAAAGAAGGAGGAAATACTCATGACAGTTACGGTCCTGGTTTTTGCAGCTGGTCACATGGTCGTAGTTGGCATTGATGACTTCCTTCTTCTGCTATGCATTCTGTATTCCCTTTGCCTTCAGCAAGCACCTCAGCAGGTCGTGGCTTTTTTTCCTGGTGGAGTGACCCAAACTTTCATTCCTGAAGGGTTTGGGTCATTTGTAGCCCTTCCTGGATTGTGCTGTTGTAGTTTCCCATTGACCTTAATCACAGGGGATGGTAATACTAAGAGATGCCCTAATGGATCTCCTGTATTGCATGTGTACTCTTCCTTAACTCCGTTGTGGAGTAGTAGACTGATTTCATCTTGATAGTCCAGGTCAATCACACCAGGCAACACTGTAACTCCCTTCTTAGCCTATTGACTTAAAGATAGGAGGAATCCAAAGCGTGGCAATCTTAACTTCCAGTTTAATGGAATCATCATTATGTCTCCTGGGTGACAGCGTTCCAAAGAACTAAGACCTCTAGGCCAGCAGAACATAATGTTATGGGAACAGCAAGCAAAAATTTTGCTAGTGCATCACTAGCAGTGATGGTGAGTGGTGCCACTTCCACTTCCACCCCTTGATTCCTGGACCCATGAATCCTGGCTATGGGAGAAAGAATACCATATATTGGATGCTGATTCAGAGCATACATGACTTTCTGGAGAACTTTGCCCCAGCCCTGCAAAGTATTGTTACCTAGATGGTGTTGCAATTGTGACTTCAAAAGGCCATTCCACCGTTCTATCAATCCAGCTGCTTCAGGATGATGTGGGGAACATGGTAAGACCAGTGAACTCCATGAGCATGAGCCCACTGCTGCATTTCTTTAACCATAAAATGAGAGCCTTGGTCAGAGGCAGTGGTGTGTGGAATACCATGATGGTAGATACGGCATTCTATGAATCCATGGATAGTAGTCTTGACAGAAACATTGCATGCAGGATAGGCAAACCCATATCCAGAGTAAGTGTCTATTCAAGTGAGGACAAACCTCTGCCCTTTCCATGATGGAAAAGGTCCAGTATAATCAACCTGCCACCAGGTAGCTGGCTGATCACCACGAGGAATGGTGTCATATTGAGGACTCAGTGTTGGTCTCTGCTGCTGGCAAATTGGGCACTCAGCAGTGACTATATCCAAGTCAGCCTTGGTTAGTGGAAGTCCATGTTGCTGATCCCAAGTGTAACCTCCATCCCTGCCACTGTGGCCACTTTGTTCATGGGCCCATTGGGTGATGACAGGGGTGGCTGGGGAAAGAGGCTGAGTGGTGTCCCCAGAACGGGTTATCCTATCCACTTGATTATTAAAATCCTCCTCTGCTGAGGTCACCCATTGGCGAGCACTCACATGGGATACAAACATCTTCACAGTTTTTGACCACTCAGAGAAGTCCATCCACATACCTCTTCCCCAAATTTCTTTGTCACCGATTTTCCAAACATACTTCTTCCAAGTACTGACCATCCAGCCAAACCATTGGCTACAGCCCATGAATCAATACATCCAGCAAATCTGGATGTATTTCTCCTTCCATGTAAAGTGGACAGCCAGGTGCACTGCTCGAAGTTCTGCTCACTGGGAAGATTTCCCTTCACTGCTGTCTTTCAGGGATGTCCTAGAAGGGGGCTGTAGTGCTGCAGGTGTCCACTTTTGGGTGGTGCCTATATATTGTGCAGCTGTGAACCAGGCCCTGGTCTTCTCTTCCTCTATCAATTGATCATAGGGAACTCCCCAGGATGCCATCGGTGCAGGCTAGGGGAGAGAAGGCAGGGTGGCAGGAGTGGAGACCATGGTAATTTGAGCCACTTCCTCATGTAACTTGTGTCTTCAGGACTCGTTCAAGCCTGATCACGTATATACCACTTCCATTTGATGATGGAATGCTGCTGTGCATAACCCATGTTATGGGTAGATGGGTCAGAAAGCACCCAGTTCATGATAGGCAGTTCAGGTCGCATGGTGACTTGATGACCCATAGTCAAACGTTCAGTTTCCACCAAAGCCCAATAACAGCCCAACAGCTGTCTCTCAAAAGGAGAGTAGTTATCTGCAGAAGATGGCAGGACCTTCCTCCAAAAACCTAGAGACCTCTGCTATGATTCACCTATGGTGACCTGCCAAAGGCTCCAAACTGCATCCCTATCTACCACTGGCACCTCAAACACCATTGGATCTGCTGGGTCATATGGTTCAAGTGGCTGAGCAGCTTGCACAGCAGCCTGGGCCTGTTGGAGAGCCTTCTCCTGTTCTGGACCACACTTAAAACTGGAAACCTTTTGGGTCACTCCATAAATGGACCAGAGTAATATACCCAAATGAGGAATGTGTTGCCTCTAAAACCCAAATAAGCCCACTAGGCATTGTTCCTCTTTCTTGGTTTTAAGAGGGGCCAAATGCACCAACTTATCCCTCACCTTCGAAGGGATATCTCAACAGGCTCCACAACATTGGACCACTAGAAATTTTACTGAGGTAGAAGTTCCCTGAATTTTAGTCAGATTTATTTCCCATTCTCTGGCATGCAGGTGTCTCACCAATAAGTCCAGTGTGTTTTCTACTTCTTGCTCACTGGATCCAATCAGCACATTGTCATCAATGTAATGGACCAGTGTGATACCTTATGGAAGTGAAAAACAATCAAGTTCTCTCCAAATAAGATTATGACACAAAGCTGGAGAGGTGATATACCCCTGAGGTAGGACAGGAAATGTATATTGCTGGCCTTGCCAGCTGAAGGCAAATTGCTTCTAGTGGGCCTTATGGACAGGAATGTAGAAAAAGGCATTTGCCAAGTCCATGGCTGCATACCAGGTACCAGGAGATGTGTTGATTTGCTCAAGCAATGAAACCACACCTGGTACAGCAGTTGCAACTGGAGTCACCACTTGGTTAAACTTGTGATAATCCACTGTCATTCTCCAAGATCCATCTGTCTTCTGCACAGGTCAAATGGGAGAGTTGATCATGGATGTGGTGGGAATCACCACCCCTGCGTCTTTCAAGTCCTTGATTGTGGCACTCATCTCAATCCCTCCAGAGATGTGATATTGTTTTTGATTTACTATTTTTCTAGGTAGAGGCAGCTCTAATGGCTTCCATTTGACCTTTCCTACCATAACAGCCCTCACTCTACCAGTTAGGGAGCCAATGTAGGGGTTCTGCCAGCTGCTAAGTATGTCTATGCCAATTTTGCATTCTGGCACTGGGGAAATGACTGCAGGATGAGTCCAGGGACCCACTGTAAGTCGGATCTGAGCTAAAACTCCATTAATTACCTGACCTCCATAAGGCCCTACTTTAACTGGAGGACCACAGTGATGTTTTGAGTGGGTGTTATTATTCTAATTTTATATGTGAAGAACCTGAGGTACAAAATGCTCTCTTAGTGGTAGAATCTGAACTCAAACCCAGGCAGTCTGACTCTTATGCCTGTGCTCTTAACAATTCAGCCATGGTCAATGGATAGGATTGGAGACTGTTAGCTAGAAGCTATATGACATTTTTTAAAAATATCAGCCTTATCTTGAAGTGGATACTCTTCATAATTAAGTTCTCATTGAGCTGCTATCATGTAGCCCAACCATACCAATATAAGAGATGCTTCCTGAAATTTGAGAATAAAGCAAGGAGGTAAATGCTCCAGGGCTAAATTGTAGTAAAAAAAATATATAGAGAGATAGGTAAGTAGTTAGATAGATATGTAAGTAGACAGATAGATACATAGATAGATGCTACTATAATAGTACATAGCAGAGAATTTTATATAAACAGCAATCATTAAAAGAAGCTGAAAATAAGAGGAAGATGTTTGTTTAAGCCTTGAAATATTGGAAGGAGTTAAATAGGCAAGGAGAAAAGGAGAAAACATTTCAAATAAAAAATGATGTGCTAATGTGTTGTGCTGATGAAGCCCCTGGGATATAAGAATACCCACAACACTTGAGCTCAGAAGGAGGGGGAAATAAAGATGCATATACAAGATGAAGCATCGAAAATCTTCAGCGAGATCCAAGATGAAGCATCAGATATGTAGTCACTTAGTATAATCCAAGAAAGATCCAAGAAATATCCATAAAGATCCAAGATGGAGCATCAAATCTGCAGTCATGTGTTGTAATTCAAGAAAGATCCAAGAAATATCTAGAAAGATCCAAGATGAAGTGTCAAGTTTGTAGTCACTTACTGGAAAATGTAAGTTATATTTTGTATGAATAGTTTGGAACCTAAAAAGAATTTACTGAACATTGCTTATAATACCTCATGCTTCAAGTGGCAACACTAGGAACCCCAGAAGATGTTTTAAGAGCATGTATCTATGGGCCTCTAAAGTGATTTTTTTCTCAATTTTTTTCAAATTTTATTATTCCTGCTTCTTCCATGTTATCTGTTAAACTTAATAGATCTATTTATAATTTGCTTATAAAGAAGGTACCGTAAAGCTCTAAATTGGTTATAATTCCCTGATCATACAACCTGCAGACTGTGGAATAAATAGGAATTTTTTTCTGCTTCATTGACCGACACCTGCCATGACAGATTTTCTTCTGTGGAAACTTTTATTTGGGGTGGAGTTTGGGGCTGGATGACAGAGAAATGATGAAAGGAGCAAAGATTTAAAATAGACACTGCTTGTGAATCCTCTGCAAATGAATGCACACCTACCTTCATTAGCTATTCCAGCCTCTCACAAAATTGGCAGCTGTGGGCAGTGAGATTACCAGTTGAGTGGTGCTGATGACCTCCTTAGCTCAGCAGATAGGAGGTGAGAGGCCTGTGGTGTAGTTACACCTGCAACTTGGAGATAAAGATAGGCCTAGGCTGGGTTTCAGACAGCAGACTCATTGAAAAATACTAGATGTGGCTGCTTACCTGATATTTGGTACAAAGTCTTCTGTTGGTTTAGAGAAAAGAAATTCTTAGAAAAGAAAATCTGTAATATAGTTTATGTTAATAATATTAATATAGGATTATTCAACTTACAGTTTCCTAATATAACAAAAAGAAGATCCAAAATAAAATTTAAATACTTCTTATTCCCAGAGGAAAAAATAAAAAAATAGAAAGGACAATGGGACAGTGTTCAGTATGGGTGAAGATCTCCCTTCTTCTTTTTGTTCTTTTCATCCTTCTGTGGACACTTTTGTCAGGGTCTCCTCATCTCCTCCCTGCCAAGGACTAGTTGCTTTAGCCTAGATCTTTGTTTCCATCTCCTCTGTCCTCTCAAGATTGGAGGGCTCCATAGAGCAGGCAGCACCCCTTCCTTGGGACAGGTTTTGTTAAAATGAGTACTAATGCTGCTTAAACCCAATGTCCCAAGACCTGCTTTCATGGTCATTGAGATTCCCAAATGAGGTAGCTACAGATGAGAAAGGACTTCAGGACATTATTTATCATTTTTGGAACTGAAATCTCCTCAACAAAGGACACATGGTATAGTGGCCAAACACTGCTTTGGAAGTGAAGAGGTACAGGTTTTGGCTCTTAATTTGTTCCTTAAGCCAGTTTTTTGTGTTTTTTCTTTTTGTTTTTTTGTTTTTTGTTTGTTTGTTTGTTTTTATTATACTTAAGTTCTAGGATACATGTGCACAACGTGCAGGTTTGTTACATATGTATACATGTGCCATGTTGCTTTGCTGCAGCCATCAACTCATCATTTACATTAGGTATTTCTCCTAATGCTACCCGTCCCCCATCCCCCCACCCCACGACAGGCCCTGGTGTCCAAGTGTTCTCATTGTTCAGTTCCCACCTATGAGTGAGAACATGCGGTGTTTGGTTTTCTGTCCCTGCGATAGTTTGCTGAGAATGATGGTTTCCAGCTTCATCCATGTCCCTGCAAGGGACATTAACTCATCCTTTCTTATGGCTGCATAGTATTCCATGGTGTACATGTGCTACATTTCCTTAATCCAGTCTATCATTGATGGACATTTTGGTTGGTTCCAAGTCTTTGCTATTGTGAATGGTGCCACAGTAAACATACGTGTGCATGTGTCTTTATAGAGGACACAAACAAATGGAAGAACATTCCATGCTCATGGATAGGAAGAATCAATATCATGAAAATGGCCATACTGCCCAAGGTAATTTATAGATGGAATGCCATCCCCATCAAGCTACCAATGACTTTCTTCACAGAATTGGAAAAAACTACTTTAAAGTTCATGTGGAACCAAAAAAGAGCCCGCATCGCCAAGACAACCCTTAAGCCAGTTCTTTAAGTTCTTCCAGAGTGGTCTGGGGACCAGCAGCATCAGGATCACCTGGGAACTTGTTAGAAATAAGTACTTTCAGAAAACAACACGGCAGTTTCTAAAATAATTAGAAATAGAACTACTGTATGATTTAGCAGTCCTTCTTCTGGAGATATAAATATACAAAGGAAATGAAGTCAGTCCATTGAAGAGATATCTGCAGGCCCATGTTCATTGTGTGTTCATTATTCACAGTAGCCAAGATACGGAAACAACCAAAGGGTCTGTTAACAGATTAATGGATACAGAATTGTATTATATACATACAATGGAATATTAATTAGCCTTAAAAAGGAAGGAAATTCTGCCATAGATGAACCTGGAGCACATTATGCTGTGCAAAATAAGCCACATAGAGAAAGCAAAAATGCTATGATGTGTGTAATCAAAGAAAGTCGAATTCATAGCAGGAAAAAATGAAGTGGTAGTTGCCAGGGGTGGAGGGACAGGGGAATGGAAAGATATTGGACTATAGTTAGTAATAGTTTATTGTACACTTGAAATTTGCTAAAAGAGTAGATATGAAGAAAAAAGTAACTTTGTGAAGAGATGAATATGTCAGTTGGCTGGACTGTAGTAATCAGTTCACTATGTATATATATGTATGAAAACATCATATTGTATGCCTTAAATATATATGATTTCAATTAAAACATTTTAAAAAATAAATGAAAAGCAAAGGATCAATTCCTTGAATTTAACTATTTTAAAAGTTAGAAAAAAAAAGAAATACTCTTTGATCTCATACAGACCTAGTGAATCAAAATTTTGGGTGTGGGGCCCAGCAATCTGTGCCTTAGCAAGGTCTCCAAATGATTCTGAAGCCCACCAAAGTTGAGAACTTTGCCTAAATTTCGTTTTAAGTAAAATAAAGAGGATTAAACTTGATAATATTCTAAATCCATCTAATTCTTAACAATCTAAGATCCTAAACTTTTGTAAGTCTCTCAACTACTGACCAAAAGAGACTTGGCTAGGTTAGCTGTACCTGGGGAATCAGGGCTTCTGGAATGAGTCAAGCAGTGTGTAACTGCTGCGTTGACATATAGCACCTAGCAAATTTCACAGTAAACATTAAGATTTCTCAAGTGCTATAATTCTTTAATTCACAGCATAATAAACAGACCTAGTTCTATTAAAAACATACTCCCTTAATACCACTCAGAGTTATGTATGTCATTTATAATATGATTTCTTTTGTTTTATCAGAAAAAGAAAATATGGTAAGTAAATTGCCAGTTTTTAATGATCTGGAGAAGCTCAGAATTCAGGACCATATTTGACCGCTCCTCAGTATGAACCATTAAGTATTTAACAAGTATTTAAAATGATGATAAAAAGTGGAATTAAATAATTTTAGCTGTAACCATCATGAAAAATATGAACAGAGAAATTATTAAAGAGAAATACCTCTATTGCACTAGATGGAAACCACTACTTAACTTAAAAATAGGCATTTGAGAAAAAGGGATTTTTTCAATAAAGAGCAAAAGCAACCACAAAAATAATACCCCTCTTTACAAGCCAGAATTCAGAAAAGATGTCAGTTTCTGTGATCTTTGCCAAGGGGAGAGCACATGTACCCTCTTACCAGCCCAGCCCAGAGGACAGGATAGTGGGTTCTGAATGAGGGAAGGAGGCTCCAGGCAGCTGGAGAATAGACAGAAGAAAACACAGCACATTAGGCAACCTAATTCAGAAGGATAATCAGATTTGTGCTGAAGACGATCCCTATAGCCATTCTTCATCTTTATTCCTGAAAATTTTGAAAAGCAGCTATTCACTCCAGGCCTTCAGCCACTGATACTTGCAGAAGCTTATTCTGGGTGTGTCTGCCCCTATATTTTGGCAGCAGTGAAGTTTCACTTGAACCTCTACTTTCAATGAACTGTTAATAGTAGGACAAAGTAAATCTAGTTTCTTTATGTTGATGTTTTTTGAAAAAGCAATGGAAAGCCATAGGCTTTTCTCGCCTTAGATTTTATATTAGCACCAATATGAACTTGATTTTGAGCATCAGCCAAAGGCAAATATTAACCAGAGGGTAGGTTAAGTATAATTCATCAGGCCTGAACCTAAGCCTATGTGTGTAGTAAGAAAAGGTTGACACACTGCACAGGTATCTCCTCAGAAACGGCTTCCTTTCAGGTAAGCTAACTTTGCTTACACAAATAAAAATCAGCATCTCTGGAAAGTACTGCACTTCAAGACTATCATAACTGCAGTTCCTTAAGATCCATGTGAAAATCATACATAAATTAATGAAAGACAAAATCCTTAGTTTAACTTACTTCTCTTAAGACAAGTCACAAGCATGATAGTAGTAGTGGACTTTTGATCCAGACAGGGTCCCAGCACCACTGCTTCCCAAGCCAAAGACAGTTTGCAACTTACTTACCCTCCCTGTGTCTCATTGAATTCAGCCATAAAGTATAACAAATGGAAACACTGTAAAAACTAAGCAGCAGTAGAGAAAGAATATCTCTTGTGTGATACCTACTTAAAATGTGCTCAGTATATATTAGTTATCTTCCTTTCCATAAAGAGAATTTCCTTCACAATATCCCCATGTAAGATCTTCAGTTCAACACAATTGTAGTGTGGCAATTTTCCTCCCTCTCTCTGTCTATCTCCCCACCTCTTTCTCACTCTCTCTCTCTGATATGGTTTGGCTGTGTCCCCACTCAAATCTTCTCTTGACTTGTAGTTCCCAGAATCTCCACATGTTGTGGGAGAGGCCTGGTGGGAGGTAATTGAATCTTGGGGACAGTTACCCGCATACTGTTCTCATGATAGTGAGTGAGCTCTCACGAGATCTGATGGTTTTATAAGGGGCTTTTCCCCCTTTTGCCTGGCACTTTTCCTTGCTACTGCCATGTGAAAATGGATGCGTTTACTTCCCCTTCCATCATGATTGTAAGTTTTGTGAGGCCTCCCCAGCCATGCTGAGCTGTGAATCAATTAAAACTTTTTTCTTTATAAATTACCCAGTCTCTAGTATGTCTTTATTAGCAGCGTGAGAACAAACTAATAAATTGGTACCAGGTAATGTGGTACTGCTGTAAAGATACCCAAAAATATGGAAACAACTTTGGAACTGGGTAACAGGCAGAGGTTGGAATAGTTTGGAGGGCCCAGAAGAAGACAGAAAAATGTGGGAAAGTTTGGAACTTCCTAGAGACTTGTTGAATGGCTTTGACCAAATGCTGATAATGATATGGACAATAAAGTTCAGGCTGAGGTGGTCTCAGATGGAGATGAGAAACTCGTTGGGGACTGGAGTAAAGATGACTCTTGCTATGCAAAGAGACTGGCAACATTTTGTCCCTTCCCTAGAGATCTGTAGATATACACAAGGATGCTGAGTATAAAGATATGAAATCGATAGGGCATTATACGTAGAGGCAATAGAAAACTTTAACTGTCTAAGATAAAGAAAATTGTAAAACAGAGAAAGAATGATCATATGGGTAGAGAAAAACTATGGTAGAGGGAAAATGTCCCAAATGTTTTTGAGTCCACTTCTCTCCTGATCTTGCATGAAGTAGAAGAGAGAAAGGAAAAGAGGTTGCTGGGTCTGAGATCATGCCTTTTAAAAAGGGTAAACCAGCTCACCAATAACAGTAGCTCAATACATTGCCCCGTATTGCCAAAAATAAATTTCACAGCCTTGTCCTTGGAGTAGGCCTAGTAAGTGGCTGCATAGAAAGAAACTAGAATTGTTTTTTTCCCTTACATTCATTTGCTTGTGGATCTCTCTTGTTTTGAATATTTTTAAACAATAAACTTATCAGCTACGATTGATTGCTCAGAGGTACAGATGCCTCCCTTGGAGCTATGGTGCTAAAGAAGCATCTTTATTCATTTCTCATCTATTCTAGGTCCCTGTCCATTCTGGGTAAAAATGATTTCTCTATTTTTTAAAATGTTTATATTGATTATTACCACCCCGTGTTGCATACTGGCTTAAGTTAAATGTGTCACATTTATTGAGGGTCAGTAACTTGAGTGGCTCTGGAACTCAAGTTCTACACACACACACACACACAAAGATACACACATACACGGCAAGAATATGAATTGCTTTGCCATATCCATATTAGACACATTTTTAACTCTCTGTGTCTCAGTTTCCTTTAGAGTAAAAGAGGGATGCTAATTGCAATAATCACATAGAATTGTAATGAAGATTTTTTAAAATGGATAAATAGGCTAGGCATGGTGGCTCACACCTGTAATCCCAACAATTTGGAGGCCAAGGTGAGCAGATTGCTTGAGCTCAAGAGTTCAAGACCACACCGGGCAACATGATGAAACCCCGTCTCTACCAAAAATACAAACAAATTTAACTGGGTATGGTGTTGCATGCCTATAGTCCCAGCTACTCAGGAAGCTGAGGTGGGAGGTTGAGGCCGCAGTGAGCCAAGATCACACCACTGCACTCCAGCCTGATTGACAAAGTGAGACCCTGTCTCAAAATGATAACAATTTTAAAATTTGATAAATATAATGCTCTTGAATAGTATCTGGCACATAGTAAGAGATTAATAAATAAATATTAGCTTTTATCTCAGTCCACTATTTCTCTGTAACAGACAATAAAATATGGCATGCAAAAAGAAGTTCTTCTCATGCATCTCATGCATGTGAATTATCTGTGAATTTAGTTGGGTTAACTAACTTGTCTGTGGGGTGTTTCAGGACTAGGCTGATACTTCTGTGCAGCTTGGGTTCAAGCTGCAGGTCTGTTAAGTTAGCTAGGTCGCCCTGTTCTTTTGTCACTTTTCTTCCTTGAGCAAGAGGCCTAGCCAGGATGTGTTCATCTGATAGTGATTGGAAGAGGCAAAAGACAGTACGTACAACCAAACAATAAACATTTCAAGTCCCTGCTTTCATCATGATTACTAATATTCCACTAGCCAAAGCAATTTATATGGCTGAGTCCAAAGGCAAGGAGCAGGAAAATACACTCCTCCATGAAAGTAAAAGGAGGGATGTAACTAATAATTTTGAACAATTATTTAAACTACTGAAGCTTTAATTACCATATGTGTCTTTGAAAGTGTATCTTTGTTTTTACTTAGTGTGCCTTACAAAAAGAACTTGGGAACCATCTAAGCACTTAGCATTGCATCTTGCTTAGAGTATAATAACTAGAAATTTCAAGCTGGAGGAAATAAATATAGTTTTATTAATCACATATATTTGTTGATGGCTTGATTGACTAATTCTTCACAGAAGAAAAAAAAATGTGCTTCAACATTATCACCAGCCCAGCAGTCCTGAGTCATTTATTATAATTTGTTAGTTGCTACCAAATATTAAACGAATTTGCATTTTGGGAAGAGAAAAAGCAATTGATATAAAGTGTCACTAACATTTTTTCCCTTAGATAAATCTGACATTCATTCCAGTTCCCTTTGGAATAAAGAACCACCTTTCATATAGTATGATAAGTTACCTTCCATGTCATGAAAGAAATGTGTGATTATATTAGAGTCACAAGAATCAAGTAATCCTTAATTTTAAAGTCCAGTTTGCATATTTTAAAAGTAATTAGAGTGTAACAAGAGAAGGAAAGTCAGGAAGTTTAAAATGGGATGGGATAAAATAAATGACCATAATCTTTATGAAGGAAAGGTAAGTATTTTCTTTAATGAAGCTAAATTCTGGATTCTGGAGGATTGAGTCTATCTGCCTTTAAAATAACTGATAATATTACAATTCTTTTGGTAAGAAAATCAGTCCATCTCCTGTTGATTTTAGACAAAAATTTCATAGTTGAAGTCATAGTGAAATAAATAGTGTATCAAGATATACTATTTTAGACATTCTACTAATAAGGAAACATTCAGCCAGTTTCCACCAATATATTACTAATGCTTATTCGGCAATCTACCAGACAGATTTTATGGAAATAATCTCATCTGGACTTATATCAATACATATTCATAGAATGCATGTGAAATGTCAAAGGATAATACCAGGTATGAATTCTTTAAATAAAGATGATAATGTCTCTAAAGCAATTCTCTAGTCTATCACCTTTCCCTTTTTATAAAATGAATCTAAAACATGATTTCTAATAGCTGTGCTAATATAATTTAGTTACAATTAAGTAATAATTTAACACGTAGAATTAGTTTTGTATACTTTTATTTAAACGAAAATTAGATATATATCTAATTAGATATATATCTAATTTTCATTTAAATAATATCTCAGATATTATAACATATATCTAATTTTCATTTAAAGTATACAAAACCAATGATATATATTATATAGATACAAAACATATAACTTATATATGTTATCTAAAAAACTGTAATTTCAAAAATAAACATTTTAATATTTAGCAAGTTTTTGTTTTGCGCTGATCTTTCTGTTTTAGATATTTGGGATAAAGAGTAAATACTTTATATTTTTGACCATAAGATACTAAAATACACATTGTGGGATTTCTCTTCAATAAATGCAGCCTTCTAAATGTTTGAAACATGCATATTTTTTATAAAATCTATTGGATTTTAATGGCATCTCTAGATAAGCCAGTTATAGAAACAGCTACCATACAAAGGGATAAAAAGCTAAAATTCATAAAATTAGAGTAATTCCCTATTGAAGTATTCTCCTGTCTTCTCTCTTTCATTTTGCAAAACATTTTTTGCATATCACCTCTGACTTCTTTTTGTTTCCTTCACCTGAATCATAATTATTATAGATGCCAGTAGGATTACAAGGATATTGACATGCATACAGAGTGAAACTCATTTCTGGCATTCAACTCATGTGCATTTCTTGGCTCCTCGCTAATTGAAAACATGTGGTCGATTGTTTTATAGATCCTCCTGGCTTGTGCCCACATGAATGGTTTTTGTGTTGAAAAATCACAATTGCAGGGCAGTTCTTCTGTATGCAACTTTTGAGTCTATTGCTCTTGCTGTGGGCCAAATCCCCTGGGATTCTGAAGGTTTCAATCCTCCAGCTCCTGGAGCTCAACTCTGCAGGCTTTACCTGAAGAAGAAAACCTAAGCAGATGCCTGTTCAGCCTGCTTTGTACATGTGATGAAAGAGCACTGAACAAAACAACTTTTGGGGAGTATGTTGGTGAGTCAAGAGAGAAGGCAGCTGACAAAAAGGAAGAAAGAAACAAAATGGAGACACTAAAATAATTATATGTCTGTCAATTTCTTTTTTTCCTGTTAAACACTCACCTATTTTTTCCCTGTGAAAAGTTCATTTAAAGCTGTCTCCTTCCAGCTACATGAAAAAACCCACAATGCATTCAATAGTATAATACAAATCCAGAATGTTTTCAAATTTCCCTCTTTTGTGGGTTTTGAGATTGACAGCTCTATAATTAGGGATAACAAAGACTAAGGGAATTAATAAGATTCAAATACAGGACCCCAGTCAGAAATCTGGAGTAAGGAATAAGAGGAAGAACGGAAATCAAAGGGTATAAATCACGTAATCTTATTGTAGACTGGAAAGTTAGACATTCAGGTTTTATACAACCCGTTATTTGTTTAGGTTTTTACAGTTACTTATTTGTTTATATTTTATCCAACTGGTTAGTTGCTCAGATTTTTATGCAAAAAACTAGTAGGTCATAGCCACCTTAAATTTGATCCTCAGACTCCAATGTATATTTATTGATCTGAAATAACAATGTAATCCAATGTCCTATCTCAACACTCTTGGTGCATTAAAATGTCTCCACCATCTATCTCTCAGACAGCAGGTTAATTGAATATAGCTCTCATTGTCAGAAAAAAAAGGCTTGGGAACAGTGACACAAGCACTCTGCTGTATAAGAGGACACTGTGTACATCTTTTTTAAGTAAAAATTACTCACTTTTCATCCCAGAGGGCTGTTCTTGCTCTTCAGAACCCCTGTTTTCATGCTTTATTTGTTTGACTAGTGAAATTAGCTCATTCGGTGTTCTGTAGGAGGCAAAAAATCGTGTAGAATATGTGTATCTCTTTTGATGTTTTTAAGTAGTTGTCATACTTTTATTGTGTTGTATTTACTTCTATCTGAGATAGTTATCTATTAACACATTCTTCTCTTAGATGCTTCTGATTTAGAATAACAGATATCCATGTTTGCTCTTCAATTTATCCAGTAATAAAGTAACAGCCACAATAGTACTGAAAGTGATTTAGATGTTTTTTAACTCATTTATTAAATGTTAATGCAAATCACTTTTCAAAAGGTAAATTATATGGGTTGTATCTTCAGCAAATAACTTTAAGGAAGCATATGCAAAATTTAAATAAATAGTTATCAGGAAACTTGGATTTTAGTTATCAACTCAGACACCTTTTATACATCCTTTCCAATTCATTGCAAATATTTGTTGCCAATTCCAATCACAATCATTGGGATACTAAAAATTTTGTGAGCAATATTAACAACCAAGAGCGTAATAATACAATATTAGTTCTAAGAGTTGTGTAAGTATGTAATCAGCCAGGTGCAGACATGAAAACCGTAAATGCTGTTTGGAATGATTAGGAAAAGCATCAGAGAAGAGAAAACCTTTAACCCAGAATTCTGTGAGACAGACGCTCTACAGCCCATCAAAAAGAGACAAGGTACTCCCTCCAGGCACAGGAATCTGCTCAAAGGCAGGCTAGACATGGAAATGCATGGTAAGAAGTCCAAGGTGCATAGGATGTAGCTACAGCTGTAGAGAAAGATATTGCAAAAGACACAGAGCACTCAGAGATGATGACCCTGGGAAAGCTAAGCCAAATGGGAAAGGCTCTAATGAGGAGGCCAATGTTTTTCAAACTTTAGTGTCATCAATTCATCCACAGAGCTGTTGGAACACAGACACTGGGTGTCTTGTCCTCAGATATTTGCCTTCAGAAGGTCTGAAATGGAGATCTAAGCATCTGCACATTTTGTAATTAACTCCAATGGTTCATAGCCATTGAAAGATCACACTTTGAGGACTACCACTGGCGATGTGAAGCCATCAAAAGATTTAATTCATTAAATGACATAATCTGATATGGATTTTAGAATGATAAGTATATTCAATGAGAACAATGCTGTGGAAAAATAAAATGTTTTTTAGTATTCCTAAAATGATATCAGACATTATTTATGTTTTACTCATTGTCTGTGGTTAAATTCACAGTGTTGAATTCTAGAGCAACATTTTTTTAAAAAAAGCTTTTAAGTGCAGGGGTACAAGTGCAGATTTGTTATATGGGTAAACCTGTGTTTGTTTTACAGATTATTTCATCACCAAGGCATTAAGCCCACTACTCATTAGTTATTTTTCCTGATCTTCTCCTTCCCCCCACCCTTCACCCTCCAAAAAGTCCTTGTGAGTGTCATTCCTCTCTATGTATCCATGGGTTCTGATCATTTAATTCCCACTTAGAAGTGAGAATATGCAGTATTTCGTTTTCTGTTCCTGTGTTTGCTAAGAACAATGGCCTCCAGCTCCATCCATGTCCCTGCTAAGGACATGATCTCATTTGTTTAATGGCTACATTGATAGCTAGCCATTAGATGAAATTTATGTAACAATACATAGTGCCTTTTTGTCCCCCATTTCTAGCATAGTCAAACTTAAGTTTGGGGCTTAGAGCTATATTAAGACTTGGGTTTTAGGAAAGATTTTCTTCTCCATTGTGCTTTGTGTTATTATTATTGTTGTTATTTTAAATTTGTGTTTGTTCTGTATTTGTAGTTTTCATGGTAGCTGTCCCCTCAAATTTGGGGGGCGTAATAGGCACTAAAATAACAGATGAATACTCAATGCATAGATTACTTCTAAGGGCTCCAATAGCACCTTTGCTATGTTCTCAGGCCCTAAAAAATGTGAAAGAAATTATTTGCAGACTTTCTTTCTGAAAGCTGTACAGAACAATGGCTAATGAGTAAATCAATTGAGTTGCGTTGTCAATGGTTAACTTAAAATAAGACTTAGGATTGAGTTATTGACTTGTTATATTTCTGTGACCTAGTCTTTACTAAAAAATAATAACATAGGCATCAAAATGTTCACCTCACGTAGGTCATTCAAATGGATCAAATTTCCCATACAATCTACTATACAAAACTGTGAGAAGGTAAAAAAATATTAACCACTAGTCATTTAGTTATTATATGTTAAGTGAAACATCTGTATGCCTATAGTATGTCTTTTTAAAGTAAGAGTTTTTTTTTCTGCCTCAATTACTTATATTGTTCTTTATTGAATTCCTTTCTCTTTATCAGCTTCTCATTTGCAGACTGCACCATTCTAAACTTTATCTTATTTATTTTATTACCTGCTGTGCTTTGTTCTTTTATATCTTTTAAATCCGAATAGTTCTTTTTGACCTTTTTATCTTCTATTTTCTGTTTAGTCATCTGAGAGTTTTAAACATTTTTTTGAGTCTTTGCCTAATATTTATTTATAAGTCATTTTTAAAAATCATTCACCTTTTCCTACTGAACATCATCTTCAACATTCAGTCTGGCTCTTATTTTCATTAGGATCTTTTAAAATTTTTTTGTTTATTCCTTACTATTTACTAATCCCTTATTTTTTCTGTAACTGAACAAGACATTTACTTAAGTGATTTATTTCATTATCTTGATTCTAAAATATGGGTATGTAGGTTAAGCTTCAAAAGTAGTTCTATTCATTATGCTGCGTGGACTCAGAGTGCCACATCTCAAATCAAAGACCTCTAAGAATTAGCTATGTGGTCATTGCCTCCTCTGTCTCCATAGGAGGTCTCGAGTTCATATAAAAGCTAATTTTAAAAGATACAGTGCTAATACCAATAAATAAAATGAATTACTAGAATTTAATACAAATAAATCATGGTTTTAAGTGGCTCTGTGACATTTGTTTGCTATTTGACAAGTTTACATAATGGAAAATAATGTAACTAACACATGTTGTTAATTCATTAAGTTGAATACAGAAATTTGCTTCGTATCAGTTCATCTCAGAAGTTAATTTTCTGTAAATACCGATGGAAGGCTGACACTGCGTTTAAGCCACACATTTTTAGGCAGAAATGAGGATCTTCTTAGATTCTATTAATCAACAAATTAAATTTAAGATGAATTTTCCAGGAGGTTGTTTTGATATTAAAAAGAATTGGTTAAAGAACAGAAAATTTGACACATATTAGAATCTCTTTCAAAGAGGCTTCAAGCTAAAAGTTTATAAGCAGATCATTGCTACCTACATAACTGAAGTAATTCATAGAAAATATAGTGCCAAGCAAAAATCTTGCCACATCTCAGTGAATAATATATTTTTACCTAATAACATTACACACATTTCTCTGATACTCTAACTCCATCAATTTTTGATCTATTCCTATTTAAAATATCAAATTAATCTTTACCACATCCTAGGAAGTGGATACAGGCAGTGTGTCATCATTTCCATTTTAAAGTCTAAGAAAAGGCACAGATCATGGTTATTTAAATTACTTTGAATGTATATAGGTTTTCCTTACATTAATTCAAGAGTGTCAGCAAGTCCAATTTCATCACATTGGATTTCAGAAATTTTACTTTCTTACAGACATAAAGCTGTTTGAGCAAAATAATTTTCAAATCATAAAACTCTAGTTGATTTCTCTCTTTGCAGAACTGTTAAAAATAATAATCTACTTCAATAAATTTTAAAGATAAGACTAGGAAATGCAACTAAATAAAATACACTTGTAAAAGTGATATACTTGGTAATCACAAAAGCATTTCCTCTGTTGCTGAAATATCATTCTTAGGTCTTAATTCAGTTATATTTATTCCCTTAGGATTCATAAAATTTCCTCAAGTTTTTGTGGGTCTTTTAACATACCAATCCTTTCAGTAATTATAGACATGGTTAAAGTTTTTAATAGATTACCTGTTTTATTGAGGTCAGATTTTTAATATGCTATAATGCACACATATTTAGGATCTAACATCCAATATGTAATCCCTAGCATTGCCTTTCATTTCATTTATGACCTTTTCTTGTGGCATATCTTATGATAAGAAGGAAGGTTGTTAAAATATGTCATAAGGAGCTTCTTTAGTTATTCTGATTACTTTTTCCTTGCTTTCTAGCTATTGCTGTTGCTTCATCAGTGTATGATATAATATATTTAAACATCTTAGGTGTTTCTAAGAGTTGGAAAACTTTGGAATTAAAACAATGCCAAAATATATACAAAAAATAAAAAATAAAGCAAGCTAACAATTTACTGTTTTATCAAAAGTTGTGCATATTTTTTGAAATAACAAAAGCAAATCAACTAAATACTTTTATAGTAAATTGATAGACTACCCAATACCAAAATGAGCTAAAATATGAAACAAACAAACCCAAAAGAAATACAATCAAATAAACAATAAAAACATTTCATGGTCAAGGAATCCATTTGGTCATTTTAAGACCAAGCTCCCAACTAAAGCAAACCATATATTTCTGGACTTTTTTCTTATCTACTGCTCATTCATATATCTGATTCTGAAATCATAAGTTCAAGTATATAGATACTACAAAATAGCTTCCAAAGAGTCACAGACTCAATTTATTCATTCATATAGCTAGAGAGTTTCTTTTATCTCTGAATGTTTGCACTCTTCTGATTTTGTAGCCCTCTCCTGCCTGTGATTACAATCTCTACATCAGTCATTTTCAGCTATTTATTTTCCATTTCTTATAAGTTAATTATTCACTGTGACAGAGACATCAGACTTCTAATTTAATATATCTTTTATAAGTTAACTATAAATATATCTTTTACATCTACTGATATTCAATATTGATAAGAAGCAAGACTAAAGAAAGAAATTATTATGGCATTTTAAATTAGGCTGAATGTAAGTAGTTTTACCCTCATTGTCAGTTTAGGAAATTTCATGACTGTGATCGTTTTTCTGAGCAAAGGCAACAAATGTCATGAGGAATGTTAAAATAAAGATCGCATGTTAATTATCTGCTCTTATGACATCAATACCATCCAAATGACTGAGAAACACCAAGCATCTAACAATAAAAACATGATGGGCTGGGCACGGTGGCTCACACCTGTAATCTCAGCAGTTTGGGAGGCTGAGGCAGGCAGATCACAAGATCAGGAGTTCGAGACCAGCCTGACCAATGTGGTTAAACCCAGTCTCTACTAAAAATACAAAAAAAAATTAGTTGGGCTTGGTGGCATGCGCCTGTAGTCCCAGCTACTCAGGAGGGCTGAGGCAGGAGAATCGCTTCAGCCCAGGAGGCAGAGGTTGCAGTGAGCTGAGATCACGCCACTGCACTCCAGCCTGGGTGACAGAGCAAGACTCTGTCTCAAAAAACAACAGCAACGACAAAAAAAACATGACGAACAACAGCCAATATGGAATGGCTGCATTTCTCAAATCATTAGACTTGAACACCTCAAACATTTTAAATTAAAATTTTTCTGAAAAATTCCAAGGAAAACCTAGAATACCTACAATAATATTACAAGTAGATTTCACATCAGAAAATATTTACAAATTATATTGGCTTCAAGTAGTTTTTGATGCAGCAAAATTCTAAGATATAAAAGAAACTGGACTTTCTATTGGAGTTCATTTTATCATAAACCTTTTTATTGACCACAACTACTAATAAAAAACAACACTAATAATAAACATATGATGAGAATTAACATTATTTTTCTTTAAGTAGTAGAGTTAGACTGAATATTTTCTATGCTTTTATAAATGCATAATTCCAAGGAAGTCTAAATTAGAGATTATAGGTGAATTCATGCAATCTGTCTTAACTCCTGTAGAACAAATATGTAGTCCAGTGTTAGGAGAGATTTACTATACTGTTCTTTTTATACAGATTTTAGTACATAGCTTATGATATAATTTTGTAGAAGTTATCAGTTATCTGTGTATTTTTCCAGCAGGTGCTTCCCTTCTACAGAATACAAAATAGATGAATACACCAGAAGTTAAACTCCAGATTTAGTATGTATGTACTGTTTTGCAACTTTTTATATTTAGAACCAAACTTAGTCAACAACTAAAACAAACAAATAATAAATAGAATCAAATGAACAGTAAAAACCTTTCATATCAAGTAACCCACTGGGTCATTTTATAATAAAGCTAAACATGTATACTAATCATACATTTTTCAAGTCCTTCTACTTCCAGATTTCTCTAGAAAAACAGAAGTAAATGTTACACAAAATTTAATCACACTTATTGTACAAATATATTGTGAACTTAATTGAGGAAAACTTGTTGCCTAAATTATTTTTGTAGGGGCTAATATGACATTCCCCAGGACAGCACACCAACTGGGATAAGGAGAGATGCTGATTGAATAGGAGAGAGCTATGGCAAGAATAAAAATCAACTAGGAATAGTCAAAAATTGACACTATGGAGATATCCTTTAATTACTAAAGCAAGATGTAAGATACACCAAATAGCAATAGAACTTCCTCTTACATTTGTATAGGTCATATGTTGCACTCAGCTTTATTCCTGGGGGAAATTGTGATGACATTGTGATGATCATTACTTTGCTTTTTAAGGTTTTGTTCCTCACAATCCTTTTCCCTGACAAGTTGATAAACTCAAAATTTTCATTGTGTGGTATATATGATGGAAAAGTTAAGAAAATGAGGTGGGTTAAAACAAACAAGGACTCTGAATCCATATTTACTGTCTTTAGCCTTAATCTTTGAGGCTAATATTTTAGTAAAGATTTATAACTTGATTTCAGATCTCACACTAAGGAGGTATTTTTTGCCTTTAAAGGTGAAATTCAAACAGCATTACTGCAGGAAAAAGAATTTTTGCCAATGGTTCTCATAAAAATAAAATACTTGGGGAGGGGCCTACAAAATGGATGGCTGACTAGAAGTACCCAGCACTAACCTCTTCCACAAAGAAGAACCAAAACAGCAAGTAGATAATCACATGTTGCAGAGAGCATCTAAGAGAGAACATTGGAATTCAGCAGGGAAGTGACGGGGAACTCCTGAAGCACAAAAGGAGAGGAAAGTGAAAAGGCTGGACTGGCCAGATTTGGCTCAAAGCCAAGATAAACTCCTTAGTGCAGGGAAAAAGCCAGCAAGAGATGTCCAGTAGTCCACATTCCTTCTGCATATTCCTGAAATCCTAGCCATGGGAAAGCCCCTTGACCCTTGCAGATCCTGAGATTAGTATAGGGAGCTGCCTGGAGTCCATACAATGGTATTGTTTCAGAGAGGGTGTTTGTGCTGGGCTCCATACACCTCCCCAGACCCAAGCAGCTGCACTATAGTGACATTTTTAGAGCCTAGCCCTCAACAGACTACATTCTGTCCTGGAACCCAACTGTACCTGCATCTCCACATGTCTGGAACTCTGCTGACATCCTTCCATGTCCACCCAGAGGGCTACAGCATCACAATGCTGACAAGACCCAGCAGTGCAGCCAGGTCCCCAGCACTCTAGCCTACGCAATGTCTCGCACCCAAGAAATGCAGGGTGCAGTGCACCAGGGAAGCTGGCCTCAGGACAAAGAGAGCTGAAGCATACCTCCCCAGAGCCTGAGAGTTGCCTGTCTTGGGCTGCTGACAGCAACGTTACTACCCACACCCAGCAGCGAGGCTGCTGCATACCTGCATGTGCCTTCAGAAGGCCTGGTGACTGGCACTCCTGGGCATCATCCCGAGGCCTGAGGACAGGCCCACTCTGCCCATGGCTGCTACCTAGTGCTTGGAAATCAAGTACCCCACCCACAATAGCTGGTGCCTGTCATCTGGGAATTGACCAGCCCCTCCTGCCCCAACCTTTATCTTCATGCATCATTGGGGTACCTGGAGATTGACTGACTCAAGCTGTATGTACCACCTGGGGACCTAGGGGCTGTAGCAACCAGCCCATCACTGCCACGATTAGTGCCCATGCATGCCACCTGGGGCCCTGAATATTAACGCACTACCACAACTACCATTGCTGAATCCCATGCTCACCATCCAGGGGCCCAAGAACCTGTCTGCCTGCCCAGCCCACAGGTGCCACTTACAGCACCTGAGCAAGCCACTTGAAGGCCCAAAGATTAGCCTGCCCAAACCTGCTACCACCAGTGCCCACATATGCCATCTGGGGCCCAAGGACTGACTACCTGATGTCCCTGTCTCCAGTAAAGCCTTACCACAGCCTTCACTAACAACCATAGCCCAAGCCACTGAAAAAATTAAGACACCACTGATGCTGAATACAGCCAAAGATGTCACACAGAGACTGTACTATTGTGCCCACCCAGAATCAAAACCAACATGCCCTACACAACCAACACTTTAGATACATCATTGGAATAAGTCTTTCCCTACAAAGCTAATCCATAAAGTTGGCTGATACCAGATACAAATGTGTCAACATAAAGATATAAGAAATATGAAAAAACAAGGAAACTTGACAGCTCTAAATGAAAACAATGATTATTGAGCAACAGATTTTAATTTTTAAAAAATATATGAAATGCCTGAAAAAGAATTCAAAATGATATTGAAGAAGCTTAGTGAGATATAAGAGAACATAGATAAACAACACAAAGAAGTCATAAAAATATTCATAATCTGAATGAGAAATTCAACAAAGATGTATATATATCATAAAAAGAAACAAACAGAAATCCTGGAACTGAACAATTCAGTGAATGAAATAAAACATACAATTGAAAGATTCAATAATAAAATAGATCAAACCAAAGGAAAAAACCTATGTTACATATGAGACACCACAAGCTTCCAAATATTTGAATTGTATGTGTTCCAGAAAAAGAAGAGATGGGAAAAGGCATAGAAATTCTATTTAACAAAATAATACCTGAAAACTTTTCAAGTATTAAAAGCTGAAAGAGATATAGACATTTAATTATAGGAAGCTCAAAGATTCCCAAATAGATTCAACTTCAAAGTCTTCTCCAAGGCATAATAGAGAAACTGTCAAAAGCCAAAGAAAGAGAAGAGAATTTAAAAACATCAAAAGAAAAGAATCAAGAGAAAAGAATCAAGTCACATGCAAGGGTATCCCCATCAGACTAACAATGAATTTCTCAGCAGAAACTATAGAGGCTAGGAAATAATAGGTTGATATAAGCAAAGTGCTGAAAAGGAAAAAACAAACAAACAATAAAAACTGCCAGCCAAGAATACTATGAACCACAAAATTATCCATCAAAAATGAAGGAAAAATAGTTTTTCTCTTATAGGCAAAAACTGAGATAATTCATCACCACTAACCGGCCATACAAAAAAGGCTCAATGAAGTCCTACATCTGAAAGTGAAAAGACAATATATACTATCATGAAAACACAAAAAAGTATAAAACTCACTCAGAGCAGACATACAAATGAGAAAGAAAAATGACTCAAATATTACTACTATATAAAACCACAAAGCTACAATGATAAACAATAAGAGAAGAAGAAAGAAACAAAGGGTATACAAAAAGAAAACAGAAAACAATTAACAAAATAAACAGGAATAAGTCTTTACCTATCAATAATAACTTTGAATGTAAATGGGCTAAATTCCCCACTTAAAATATATAGTCTGGCTGAAAGGATTAAAGAAACATGACCTAACTATATGCTGCCTATAAGAAACTCATTTCACCTGTAAAGACACATATAGACTGAAAATGAAGGGATGTGAAAAGATGTTACATGCAAATGGAAACCAAATGTTAATAGCTATACTTATATCAGATAAAACAGACTTTAAGTTGAAAACTGTGAAAATAAGCAAATAAAGTAATTATATAATGATAAATCAATTTAGCAAAAGGATATAACAATTCTAATTATATATGTATTCAACACAAGAGCACCCAGGCATATAATGCAAAGATGTTTAGATCTAAAGGGAGAGATAGACCTCAATGTAATAATAGTTGGAGACTCTAACATCCCACTCTCAGCATTGGATAGATCATCTTTACAGAAAATCAACCAACAAATATTGAACTTAAACTGTACTTTAGAGCAAATGAACCTAGCATACATTTACAGAACATTTTAATCCAACAGCTTCAGAATATACATTCTTCTCATTGGCACATGGAACATACTCCAGGATAGACCATGTATTAGGCAACATAATAAGTCTCAAAAAATTTTTAAAAATCAAAATTATATCAGTTTTTAAAAATCAAAATTACATATTTTCAAGCCATGGTGAAATGAAATTAATAAAAAGAACCAATGTCATTCTTTACAGAAATAGAAAATAAATGCTAAAATTTGTATGAAACCACAAAGAAGTCTAAATAGTCAATGCTATCTTGAGCAAAAATAACAAAGCAGGAAGCATCACTTCAAAATATACTACAAAGACATAGTAACCAAGGCAACATGACATTGATATGAAAACAGACACGTAGGCCAATGGAACAGAATCAAGAGCCCAGAAAAATATTCACGTATTTACAACCAACTGATTTTCAACAAAGGTGCCAAGAACAGACATTGGTGAAAGAACACTCTCTTCGATAAATGGTGGTAGGAAAACTATCTATTTATATGTGAAGAATGAAATAGACTCCTATCCCTTACATATCACCTTACCTGTTAAATTTTTAAAGTTTTTGCACAGCAGAGGAAACAATGAACACAGTAAACAGACAATTTACAAAAAGGAAGAGAACATTTTCGAACTGTTCACCTGACAGGACTAATTTGCAGAATATACAAGGAACTCAAACAATTCAACAGCAAAACAAAAACAAATAATCTCATTAAATACTGGACAAAGGATCCGAATAGACATTTCTCAAAAGGAGGCATATAAATGGCAAACAGGTATATGAAAAAATGCTGAGCATCACTAATCATCAGAGAAATGCAAATCAAAATCACAATGAGATATCTCATCCCAATTAAAATGGCTATTGTTAAAAAGACAAAACATAACGAATGCTAGCAAAGATTCAGAGAAAGGGAAACTCTCGTACACTGTTGGTAGGAATGTACATTAGTATAGTCAGTATAAAAAACAGTATGGAAGTTGCTTTAAAAAAACAACTAAAAATAGAGCTATTAATACTATATGATCCACAATCCCACTGCTGGGTATTTATCCAACAGTAAGGAAATCAGAATATCAAAGGGATACCTTCACCATCATTTTTATTGCAGCACTATTCACAATAGCCAAGATTCAGAATAAACCTAAGTGTTCATCAATGGATGAATGTATAAATGTGGTCCATAAAAATATAATGGAATACTATTCAACCATAAAAAAGAATGAAATTTTGTCATTTATAGCAACATGGATGGAGCTGCTGATCATCATGTTAAGTGAAATAAGCCAGGCACAGAAAGACAACTATTCCACGTTCTCACCCTTCTGTGAGAGCTAAAAAAAAAAGCTGATGTATTGGAGGTAGAGAGTAGAATGATAATTACCAGAGGCTGGAAAGTGAAGTGGGATGAAAAGAGTTTGATTAATGGGTACAAATGTACAGTTAGATGGAAGAAATAAGTTCTAGTGTTTGATAGAATAGGGTGTCTATAGTTAGCAATAATATATTGTATATTTGAAAATAGCTAGAAGAGAAGATCTGAAATTTTCCCAGCACACACAAAGATAAATGTTTGAGGTGATGGATATCCTAATTACCCTGATTTGATGATTACACATTGTATGCATGTATCAAAATATCACATGTACCCCATAAATATGTACAATTATTATGTATCAATAAAAATATAAAATTAGAATATTTTAAATATAAACACACTTCAGTTTTGACATAGATTAAAACTGAAATATAGTATAGGAAATATTAGCTGATATCCTTCATCACATCAATTTCTCTATTTGTATACAAAGTTTAAGACTGATGAAGTGTCTACTTTAATATGAGGCAGTAATAGAGAGGCTGTGTGGTGTCCACCAAAGAGTACAGGCTATAGAGTTATAATAACCAGGTTCCAGTCACTTATCTCACTCATGTGGCCTTGGCCTGTAGCCTTAGTGCATTATTAATCTAAGCTTTTCTCCTTAGATAACTGAGGTTAATGACAAAATCTGTCATTGTCTCTCTCAGTGTTATTGTTAAGGTCAAGTAAGATATTTCATAAAAATAAAATTATTTGTGTTGTTACTGTCATCATCATCATCATCATAATGCAACTGAGAAGTTAAGTAATAATTATTTATTGTATTCAGAAACAAAATATGTTGACTTTTTCAATGGATATGAAGTTACTAGTGACAATAATCAATCTTGTTGACCAGATTGGGTAGTTCCTGAATTTAAAATTGTTCCAGAGACAATGCAGAATTTAAAAATCTGAGTGCTCAGCAAGACACTCTTGGTTTTACATACCTATTTATTTTACTTTACCAAACTTCTACCATCTCACTTCTTCCTGTCTTTTTTTGCCTAACTTTTAAGTTCATGAATTTGTAGTTCAGAATGTTGCATTTATTCCTGACAACTTTAGAAGAGGCTCAAGGATGAAGAGCACAATTCTTATTGCATGCCCACCTTTTCATGTGGCACTTGCAACATTTCTAAATCCCAAGTCAGAGATAAAGTAGAGATCAGTTCAGGTAGCACAGATCTGTCAGTTGCTCAAAAGCAGGTGCAATAACTCAAGCTTTAGTTATGGGGAGGCTTGGAGATTTTAAATTATTTGGCAATAGATTTGAAATAAACCAGTCTGCTTTTCACAGTATGCCATTTTTAAGGGAGTAGATTTCAGAAATGCCATATTTATTCTAAGTAAAATTCTAAATTAATCCCATAAGAATAAAATGCTTTATTCTTAATTACAGATTATTTTTACCTTAATTGCTATTATGGTTCAATCTTCAAAAGGAAATAGTATATGACCATATTTTATTTTAACCTTGGCATGTGGTATAGTTTGGATATTTGTCCTCTCCAAATCTCATATTGAAATTTGATCCCCAATGTTGGAGGTGGAGCCTGGTGGGAGGTATTTGAGTCATGGGAGTGGCTCCTTAAGAATGCCTTGGTACTGTCCTCTGGGTAATGACTGAGTTCTTGCTCTATTAGTTCATGTAAAAGCTGGTTATTTTAAAAAGCATGGCACTTTCTGCTCTCTCTTCCTTCCTTTATTGCCATGTGCTATCTGCTCAATTTCCCCTTCTGCCATGATTGGAAGCTTCCTGAAGCCCTCACCAGAAGCAAATGCTGGTGCATGTGTCTTGTACAGCCTGCAGAACTGTGAGCCAAATAAAACTATTTTCTTCATAAATTACCCAGCCTCAGATAGTTCCTTTATAGCAATGCAAAATGGACTAAAACAGCATCTGATGTAATTTGTGACTCTTGAAATCTTTTGGGTAAATGCTCCTTAGAAGACATGCGTAGCATTTTAAAAAAACATCATTGCCCTAAAGAAACAGTAGATTCCCCAACAGCTTCCAAATTGAGCATGTAATTTGGGCGTGGGAGTTTTCTCCCCCCTAAAATAATAAGAACAGAATCAGTCACAGTATTATTTTGTGATGAAAAATTTTATGAATAGTTTAGCATACATCTTCAGGATCTAAGACCTAAAAAGATCAATCTTGCCCAAGGCCTGAAAATGTATGCAAAACTGTCTTTGTTTCATAAATAATTATGCTGGTATATCATTTCCATTGTGTTTTATTTTGTCTGTTGCCTATAGATTTTTAAACCATAAATGATATAAAATCATATTCCTAGAAATCTTCCTGTCTCTCACTAATGCCTCACAACATTCCCATATTTCCCTGAATGCTGTATTGCCTTGGTACTGTTTTTGAGTGATTTGATAATAACAGAGTGTTATTCCTGATTGTAATTCATTTTGCTTGCATATCAATCTTGTTGGGTTTGAATGTATACAAAGAATACTAATCACTGCACTGTATGTCTTTAATCTCTATCATAAAGAATCTTTGTTTGCATATGCAGGATTTTCAATAATATTTGCATAAAGAGTAAGTCAGACACTTTGATTACTAGTAATCTTTTCATGATGTGTAAGATTTTACACTTGAGGATAAGTTTTTTTTTTCCTTCAATTATTTGTTTTTCCCTGTCAGGTTAGGTATCCTCTCATTTGTATGCCCATCTTAGAGGATGTATCAATAATAGCTAATATTCAATATGGCAAAATAGTGAGAAAACCTTAATTAAAAAGTGCTAATTAATAAACTTTCAATTTGAGAATACACTTAGAACAATTCTTAATCCAGAGAAGCATAATTTGAATAATTTACTCCTTTAACTTATAATATCCTTCTCTTCTGCATTCCCAAAGATCCAATGTTTAACACACAATACAAAAAATCATTTCAAATTTTGTTTAACAAAGAGCTGGAGCAAAATTTAAAAAAATAAACAAAAAGAAGCTACAAAGCAAAGATTATATTTTCAGAAAAAATTTGATGGAGCAACAAGGGTTTGTATTTGTGCCTCCATTCTTTAATTCTCCCACAATAAATCTTATTCAGAAATATGTGAAAATCTGAAATCACTTCTTGCCTATGAACAATGTCATGAAGCCTCTGGGTTCCGAGGCAAGAAACAGGCTCAGCCTGATCAATGTGGTGGAATTTAATTAGAGTTCTCAACTATGGTTATCAATCTCTACCTCAGTGTTAACTTTTGAGTGTATCTTCTAGAAATCCACCTGCTATATGATTTTTCTCCTGGATCACACTAAATCTCTGAAGATCATATCCTAGGCCTCCTCCCATCTCCTTCAATTTAGCCAGTGAATTTCTATAACCATTAATACTCTCCTTTCTTCATTTTGATGACTATATTTTGATCAAGTTTTCTAGTTATTGACCATGCTATTTAAACATATTACAAACCAATTTCTAGTATAGTAGGATATAGGTTATATTAAGATATAGTGGAATTAAATGAACGAATTAAGTAACTCAACCTACTAACACATAGAATCTATAAAATGTGTCACTGTTTTCTTTTCATAGTAATTTGAAAAATTGGAATCACTTTTCCCTCCATTTTGTTGAGTCTCCCATATATGTGTAGACATGTTTCGGGCTTCTAGAAGCACTGATGGTTTCACCACTTATTTAATATTGCAAGAAGTCATCATCACAGCAGTCGTGCTCTGAAGTCCCAAAGCTAATATTTACTTGTGAGACATTTTGCATTACCTCATAAGCATGAGAAATTTAATAAAGTTATTATCCCCATTTTGCACATGAACAAACTGAGAATTAATAAAGTAAAATAACTTGCAAAGGTAAGATACCTGGCAAGCCAAGAACCTTGGAAGCCCAATCAGATTCCGAATCTCATGCATTTCACAGTCATTTATTTCCTCAATTAAGATACTATTCAGGTCTACCTTATATGGAATAGAATGAGAATAATATGCATATGTTTTCTTATTTGATCCTGTTAACTCTGGGAAACAAGCAGGGGAAATATATGTAGCTTGTTTCTACGTATCAGGAAATTTGTATTTAGAAATGTAAAATGAATGACACAGGACTACAAATTTAGTTTATGGTAGAATCTAGACCAGAACCCAGGTCCCCTGAGAAGAAATTCAGTGTTTTTCATAGTTATTCTGTGACTTATCACTGTTTCAGTGCACAGTGTCTGACTAGGTTCACATTTTCAAAGCAATTTTAAGTAGCTGATACCTCTGTTTTCTCAAGTAATAAACCAAAAAAAAAAAGAAAAAAATGAAGATATGCTTTAAAAATTATTCATACATTAAAGACACAAAAAACATCATTGTATTGATAAAATGCATGCACACACACTATTTATGACTTTTTGTGATTTTAACATTTTCTTCTTCAAATGTAGTGTTCAAAAAATGACTAGAAAGAGACTTTCCTATAGTGTTTCATGTAAAATTTGTGCTGAGATATTATAAACATGAAATGATTTTCCTCTGAAAAATATTGAAATGTTTCAGAGATAGAACATTTATTTTGCTCCTATTCAAATATTCTCACACAAGGAGACACTTATTTTCCAGAGACTTATTCTAAAGCTATCCCTAATAAGTGGAAGCCAGTACTTGGTTTGAAACTCAGTAGGCATTCTTTCAAAAGACTTTATTTTGGACTAATGTCTTAGGTAAGGATATGAGATATCCAAAGTATAGAGAGCTAAAAGAAAAATATATCTTCCCACCGCTTTGAGAACAAATTATCTTTTGAGGCGGACATTCAATTTAAGATTAATGATAGTTTTGCATTTGCTTTTCTATTTATCTTTCTTGAAATATGCCATTATTGGTATGTTTGTAATGCTGTATAGTTTAAACTAGTTTTGTAAATTTTTCTTTATGATAACCATAGAATGCATTATTATGACATAGAATATGCCACTCCTGTTAAATGTGAGGGAAAAGAATTGTGGTGGTTTCTCTGAATTTTAGGACAGTTATTTTTTCCAAATATATTTAAAAATGACAAACAAAACCAACACTAGGAGATATATTTTGCAATTTAGTTAGATACCTTTTGAAATTTCTAAAATTGTTAAGCTTCAGGTGTTCTTAAATCATAAATAAGGTGATTATATAATTTGTCTAAAGCAGAATAATTTTGAGGATGAAAGAAGCACTTTTGGTAATTGTATGAAGGTAGACAAACAGGGATATGTTCACCTCAATTGTAAGGGGCATTGACATTTCTTTCTGTTTGCTTCCCAAAAGTAATTGCCTGTCCTCAAGTCATTGTGTGCTTATTTGTAAAGACCCGTAATATCATTTGGGACCAGTTCTGTTTGACTTTCTCTTTCATTTTCTTTTTTGAGATAAAATTGTATAATTCTCATATGCCAAATAGGGAGAAATAATTAAGCTTAATTTTGAACCAGTAAGTTTTAAAATATTTTCTATGGGCATTAAAGGATTTGGCTTGCAGTGAACTTACCTGCTATTAGTTGGGTTGAAAGGAATGAAAAATGCTTATGATTCTTTCATATGGTGGCCACCAGGAATATTACATTGCAATAGCCTGTAATTACCCACACATTTCCCTTTTATTTAGCGAGAAGAGAAATATAGAAAATAAAAAACACTCCCAGCAAGATCAAGGCCATTAGCTTCTCTCTCTTTCATAAACACTAGGAAGTGTGTAAGAATGAAAATCCCATTTAAAAACAAGTTCATTTTTCTAAACATGATATATCAACTATACTGAAGTGTGACCTCCTGTCAGATGTTCTTAATGGGAAGGAAAAATATATTTTCGTATTCTATTTCTGAGGGAGAAACACACACACAATTGAGCAAAAATGCACACAAACTCTTAACCTATGCCCTATATATCTGTCACAACTGTCTCTCAATGCAGAGAATTCATGCATTCAACAAAGCATATCTTGAGCACCTGCTGTGTGCCAGAAGTACAAGCCCGCAGTTGAAAGGGAAATGCAGACCATATATTAATAACCAACCAAAAAGCAATCACCAAGTTGTGAAAACTTTGAGTAAGACAGTAGAAACAAATGGGTGGTAATGACTTAAAATATGATTAGGATAAAGACACAGGCTAAAAAGTCAGAGTGAGGGGCCAGGGGGTCAGCGTGAACAGTGGTCTTGAACCAGAAAGAGCTTGGAGACCAATAAGGTAATCACTCTTGCATTACAATATATGATGTCTCAATATAAAGATGCCAAAATATTTGTCTGCTTTCACTTATAAGAAAGATTTTTTCCCCCAAGATCCAAGGCAATTATACAAGAGAATCTGAAATGTGTGGTATCCAGAAATACTCATAGCACTCTGCTAACTCTTACTCCTAAATTATTGTAATATGTTTTTACTTGTTTGTTATGCTCCACACAACCTGTAAAGATTAAATGCTGGGCAGAGGATTTAACTGCTGTTCCCAGGAAAAGAAAAGGCCTTGGTGAGGGATGTAGAACAGCAAGGTAGCACCGCCTTTTACTGTGATTGTATTTACTTTTTGACACTGATTCAGAATGGTTGAATTTGCATAACAATTTGTGGAGATGTTAGGTGCATCTATGCAATGTAAGATATTGCTTGAATTCACAGAACCCCTATCCCTTAAGAAAGTTTATTAACAAGTTTAGAATTCTCCAATAAAGACATCACAGTTGAGGATGGGGATATTTGTATGTTCACAGTAACGTCATCTAATAGCTACCTTTTCTCTAAGATACATAATTTGAAACTATTATTTTTATTTTTTAAATTAGCCATTATTTCATTTAAGAAATACATCAGAAATCTTAGGGAGCAGGCTTAAGCTGCCTGTAGATTCTAATTCTGTCATGACTATTTGGAGTGTCAGTAGGGGATGCCCCAAGCTCCATAACAATGAGGGTCATAGGGACAGTGAGTGGATGTGTTGAAGATGCTGCTATGGACAGAATTGTGTCCCCCAAAATTCATATGCTGCAGCCCTAGCCCTGGTGTGATGATGCTTTTTGGAGTTGGGGCCTTTGGAGGGTACTTATGGTTTCATGAAGTCATGAAGGTGAAGCCCAGGTCCTATGGGATTAGTGCCCTTATAAGAAGAGACTCCAGTGGGCTTTCTGTCATTCTGCCTCTCTCTGCCATGTGAGAACACAGAGAGAATGCAGCCATCTACCAACCAAGAAGAGAACCTCACCAGAAGGCAATCCTGCTGACACCTTGATCTTGGACTTACAGCTGCCAGAACTGTGAGAAAATAGATGTCTATTGTTTAAGGTATTTTTGTTTTGGCAGACAAAGACAAATGCCTTGGCTCATAAGACATACCCCCAAAGCTGTCTGAGTACGTGGTAGAACATGTGCTTCTTTAAGCATGGCCTTTGGACAGCTTGCATAAAAAACACCTGGGAAGCCTATTAAAATTCAGATTCCTGGGCCAAAATAGACCTACTGAACCCCAGTTGCTGGAGATGGGGCCCCAGAGCTGACACGGAAGGATCTTCTCATTTTCCTGGTAAGCTAGACTGTAAGCAGCACAAAGGCAAAGATAATTTCTGTTTCATTCAATACTGGGCTGGCAGCACCTAGCAGGAGGCAGGTTATATGCTAGATGCCTCATAGGTGACTTGCTGAAGTGGGAACAAAGGTTCCATTTAAATTCTATAGATTATGACAAGCCAGGCAAAACAAATGTATTCCGAGGAGACCAGCAAGGCAAAATATTTTAGGAGCCCATTTAAACCATAAAAGAGGATTGATTTGACATAGGGTAAAAATCCAGTAAAGTCATCAAAGGCAAATTTTTTGTGACTGTTAGTTTGTGTTGCATAATCCACCTACTGCTGTAGGTTGGGAGTAAATGAGTCACACATGTTTGAATTTATTTTCTTTTATTTTTTTGAGACTGAGTCTCACTCTTGTGCCTAGGCTGGAGAGCAGTGGCATGATCTCAGCTCACTGCAGCCTCAACCTCCTTGGGCTCAAGTAATCCTCCCACCTCAGACTCCCTAGTAGCTGGGACTACAGGCATATGCTACCATGACTTGCTTTTTTTTTTTTTTTTTTTTTTTTTTTTTTTGGAGAGACAAGATTTCACCATGTTGACCAGGTTGGTCTCAAACGCTTCCATTTAACCAATCTGCCAGCCTCAGCCTCCTAGACTGCTGGGACTGCAGTCATCAGCAATAGTGCCTGGCCTGAATTTATTTTCAATACCCATGTTAGACACAGCTTTTCACAAAGCTCTGAGTGCCTCTAGTAGAGAGTACTTCTAGATCTGCTATATATTTTTCATCAATACATGTAGTCATACCGTTAGTGCGGTGGGCAAATACTATACTGAGAATAAAAAATGCTAGACTTTGTGCTCACTTCAGCAGCACATATACTAAAATTGGAATGATACAGAGAAGATTAGCATGGCTCCTGTGCAAGGATGACACGCAAATTCGTGAAGCATTCCATATTTTTAAGAAAGCTAAGAATCTTGAAAAAGGGTTAGACAAATTGCTAACTGGGATAACCAGTGTAGGGAAGAACATAAATGACCTGATGGAGCTGAAAAACACAGCACGAGAACTTCGTGAAGCATACACAAGCTTCAATAGCTGATTTGATCAAGTGGAAGAAAGGATATCAGTGATTGAAGATCACATTAATGAAATAAAGCAAGAAGACAAGATTAGAGAAAAAAGAGTGAAAAGAAATGACCAAAGCCTCCAAGAAATATAGGACAATGTAAAAAGATCAAATCTATGTTTGATTGGTGTACCTGAAAGTGACGAGGAGAATGGAACCAAGCTGGAAAACACTCTTCAGGATATTATCCAGGAGGACTTCCCCAACCTAGCAAGGCAGGCCAACATTCAATTCAAGAAATACAGAGAACACCACAAGGATATTCCTCAAGAAGAGCAACCCCAAGACACATAAACATCAGATTCACCAAGGTTGACATGAAGGAAAAAATGTTAAGGGCAGCCAGAGAGAAAGGTCAGTTTACCCACAAAGGGAAGCCCATCAGACTAACAGTGGATCTCTCAGCAGAAACCCTACAAGCCAGAAGAGAGTGGGGGCCAATATTCAACACTCTTAAAGGAAAGAATTTTCAACCCAGAATTTCATATCCAGCCAAACTAAGCTTCATAAGTGAAGGATAAATAAAATTCTTTACAGACAAGCAAATGCTGAGAGATTTTGTCACCACCAGGCCTGCCTTACAAGAGCTCCTGAAGGAAGCACTAAACATGGAAAGGAGCAACTAGTAGCAGCCACTGCAAAAACATGCAAAATTGTAAAGACCATTGACGCTATGAAGAAACTGCATCAACTAATGGGCAAGATAATCAGCTAGCATCATTATGACAGGATCAAATTCACGCATAACAATATTAACCTTAAATGTAAACAGGCTAAATGCCCCAATTAAAAGGCACAGACTGGCAAACTGATAAAGAGTCAAGACCCATTGGTGTGCTGTATTCAGCAGAATGAATTCATTCAATTCTTGAACTGAATGTTGGCCTGCCTTGCTAGGTTGGGCAAGTTCTCCTGGATAATATACTTAAGAGTGTTTTCTAACTTGGTTCCATCTCACGTGCAAAGACACACATAGGCTCAAAATAAAGGGATGGAGGAAGATCTACCAAGCAAATGGAAAGCAAAAAAAAACAGGGACTGCCATCCCAGTCTCTGATAAAACAGACTTAAAGCCAACAAAGATCAAAAGAGACAAAGAAAGGCATTACATAGTGGTAAAGGGATCAATGCAACAAGAAGAGCTAACTATCCTAAATATATATGCATTCAATACAGGAGCACCCAGATTCATAAAGCAAGTTCTTAGAGACCTACAAAGAGACTTAGACTCCCACACAATAATAGTAAGAGACTTTAATGCCCCACTGTCAACATTAGATCAACAAGACAGAAAATTAACAAGGATATCCAGGACTTGAACTCAGCTCTGCACCAAGCAGACCTAATAGATATCTACAGAACTCTCCACCTCAAATTAATGGAATATACATTCTTCTCAGCACCACATCACACTTATTCTAAAATTGACCACATAATTGGAAGTAAAACACTCCTCAGAAAATGTAGGAGAAATTACAACAAACTGTCTCTCAGTCCACAGTGCAATCAAATTAGCACTCAGGATTAAGAAACTCACTCAGAACTGCAGAACTACATAGAAACTGAACAACCTGCTCCTGAATGACTACTGGGTAAATAACAAAATTAAGGCAGAAATAAAGATGTTCTTTGAAACCAATGAGAACAAAGACACAATGTACCAGAATCCCTAGGACACATTTAAAGCAGTGTTTAGAGGGAAATTTATAGCACTAAATGCCCACAAGAGAAAGCAGGAAAGATCTAAAATTGACACCCTAATGTCACAATTAAAAGAACTAGAGAAGCAAGAGCAAACAAATTCAAATGCTTGCAGAAGAAAAGAAATAACTAAGATCAGAGCAGAACTGAAGGAGAGAGAGACACAAAAAACCCATCAAAAAATCAATGAATCCAAGAGCTGGTTTTTTGAAAAGATCAGCAAAATAGATAGACCACTAGCCAGACTAATAAGAAAAGAGAGAAGAATCAAATAGAGACAATAAAAAATGATAAAGGGGATATCACCACTGATCCCACAGAAATACAAACTACCATCAGAGAATGCTACAAACACCTCTATACAAATAAACTAGAAAATCTAGAAGAAATGGATAACTTCCTGGACACATACACCCTCCCAAGACTAAACCAGGAAGAAGTCAAATCTCCGAATAGACCAATAACAGGTTCCGAAATTGAGGCAATAATTAATAGCCTACCAACCAAAAAAAAGCCCAGGACCAGACGGAATCACAGCCAAATTATAGCAGAGGTACAAAGAGGAGATGGTACCATTCCTTTTGAAACTATTCCAATCAATAGAAAAAAAAAAAAAAGGGAATCCTCCCTAACTCATTTTATGAGGGCAACATCATCTTAATACCAACATCTGGCAGATACACAACAAAAATAGAAAATTTTAGGCCAATATCCCTGATGAACATCAATGCAGAAATCCTCAATAAAATACTGGCAAATCAAATCCAGCAGCACATCAAAAAGCTTATCCACCAGGATCAAGTCGGCTTCATCCCTAGGATGCAAGGCTGGTTCAACATATGCAAATCAATAAATGTAATCCATCAGATAAACAGAACCAATGACAAAAATCACATGATTATCTTCATAGATGCAGAAAAGGCCTTCGACAAAATTTAACAGCCCTTCATGCTAAAAACTCTCAATAAATTAGGTATTGATGGAACATATCTCAAAATAATAAGAGCTATTTATGTCAAACTCACAACTGATATCATACTGAATGGAAACTGGAAGCATTCACTTTTGAAAACTGGCACAAGACAAGGATGCCCTCTCTCACCACTCCTATTCAACCTAGTGTTGGAAGTTCTAGCCAGGGCAATCAGGCAAGAGAAAGAAATAAAGGATATTCAATTAGGAAAAGACGAAGTCAAATTGTCTCTATTTGCAGATGATATGATTGTATATTTATAAAACCCCTTCATCTCAGCCCAAAATCTCCTTAAGCTGATAAGCAGCTTCAGCAAAGTCTCAGGATACAAAATCAATGTGCAAAAATCACAAGCATTCCTATACACCAATAACAGACAAACAGCCAAATCATGAGTGAACTCCCATTTACAATTGCTTCAAAGAGAATAAAATACCTAGGAATCCAACTTACAAGGGATGTGAAGGACCTCTTCAAGGAGAACTACAAACCACTGCTCAATGAAATAAAAGAGGACACGAACAAATGGAAGAACATTCCATGCTCATGGATAGGAAGAGTCAATAATGTGAAATGGCCATACTGCCCAAAGTAATTTATACATTCAATGCTATCCTCATCAAGCTACCACTGACTTTCTTCACAGAATTGGAAAAAAAATACTTTAAATTTCATATGGAACCAAAAATGAGCCTGCATAGCCAAGACAATCCTAAACAAAAAGAACAAAGCTGAAAGCATCACGCAACCTGACTTCAAACTATACTACAAGGCTACAGTAACCAAAACAGCATGTTACTGGTACTAAAACAGATATACAGACCAATGGAACAGCACAGAGTCCTCAGAAATAACATCACACATCTACAACCATCTGATCTTTGACAAACCTGACAAAAACAAGCAATGGGGAAAGGATTCCCTATTGAATAAATGGTGCTGAGAAAACTGGCTAGTCATATGCAGAAAGCTGAAACTGGATCCCTTCCTTACACCTTATACAAAAATTAACTCAAGGTGAATTAAAGACTTAAATTAAGACCTAAAACCATAAACCTAAGCAATACCATTCAGGATATAGGCATGGGCAAAGAGTTCATGACTAAAACACCAAAAGAAATGGCAACAAAATCCAAAATAGACAAATGGGATGTAATTAAACTAAAGAGCTTCTGCACAGCGAAAGAAACTCTCATCAGAGTGAGCATGCAACATACAGAATGGGAGAAAGTTTTTGCAATCTATCCATCTGACAAAGGGCTAATATCCAGAATCTACAAAGAACTTAAACCAATTTACAAGAAAAAAACAACCCCATCAAAATGTGGGCGAAGGATATGAACAGACACTTCTCAAAAGAAGACATTTATGCAGCCAACAAAATTATGAAAAAATGCTCATCATCACTGGTCATTAGGGAAATGCAAATCAAAACCACAGTGAGATACTATCTCATTGCCAGTTAGAATGGTGATCATTAAAAAGTCAGGAAACAACAGATTCTGGAGAGGATGTGGACAAATAGGAATGAACACTTTTACACTGTTAGTGGGAATTTAAATTGGTTCAACCATTGTGGAAGACAGTGTGACAACTCCTCAAGGATCTAGAACTAGTAATACTATTTGACCCAGCAATCCCATTACTGGGAATATACACAAAGGATTATAAATCATTCTACTGTAAAGACGATTTTATAACATGCACACGAGTATTTATTGCAGCACTGTTTACAATAGCAAAGTCTTGGAACCAACCCAAAGGCCCATCAATTATAGATTGGATAAAGAAAATGTGGCACATATACACCATGGAATACTGTGCAGCCATAAAAAAGGATGAGTTCATGTCCTTTGCAGGGACATGGATGAATCTGGAAACCATCATTCTCAGCACAGTAACACAAGAAGAGAAAACCAAACACCACATGTTCTCACTCATAAGTGGGAGTTGAACAGTGAGAACACATGGACACAGGGAGGGGAACATCCACACTGGGGCCTGTCCTGGGGTGGGGGATTGGATGAAGGATAGCATTAGAAGAAATACCTAATGTAAGTGATGAGTTTATGGGTGCAGCAAACCACCATGGCACATGTATACCTATGCAACAAACCTGCATATTATGCACATGTACCCTAGAACTTAAAGTATTATAATAATAATAATAATAATAATAATAATAAAAAAATTCTAGACTTTGGCACAAGCCACATGTTCAAGAATAAATGTATTAATATTCCTTAAATCTCAATTGTCTGGGGTTGTATTTGATTTTGATGTTCCCTACATACGTAAAATTCCATTAATCTGTGATTACACCATTAGGATCTTTTTCCCAAATACTGATTGTTTAGCCTGGAAGCTACAGAAGATTTCAAAAGACATTCTGAATTAAAACAGAGCAAGGGATTGCCCCCTTCCTTCCCCTTGTAAGAACTTGTAAGGCCTTGTAAGTCTCTGAAGGGAAATAAAAGTTTATAATAATCATGCTTAGATGACTTCTGCATCCACAAGTTCCATATCTGCTGATTCAAACAACCATGGATCAAAAATATTTGCAGGAAAAAAAATAACAATATGACAATAGGAATAATATAAACAAAAAATACAATTTAACAACCACTTACACAGCACTTACACTAGTCAGGCATTATAGGTAATGTAGACCTGAGGATGTTCGTAGATTATGTGCGTATACTAAGCAATTTTATCTAAGACCGTTGAATTGTGGTATCCAGGGGGTCCTGGAGCCAAAGTCCCACAGATACACAGGGATGACTGTAAATGTGTAGAATGTTTTTTTTTCTTTCATCTGCATCCACTTTGATAGGGCCAAACAAGTGGCAGAAGGCAAAAAGTACGTGGAAGTGATTAAATATGTTCCAGATAAATACTGTCATGCTAATATAAAGTCTTGCAAGTCCCGTGCCAATCCTTTCCGAAACAATTAGCTAAATATAGCTACATGTTGGCTATATTGATTAATAAACTGAAAAAAAGACTGTATTTTATACAGTTTACCAGGAAGGGGTATTTTTATTTGTGTTCATTTGTTGGATTTTTTGATGGGAGAAGATAGGTGTGATGGAGGATAATCAAGTCTGGAGAAATTAGGATGTGTTTGTGGGGAGTAATAATGAAATGAAATGGCGTGAACCCGGGAGGCGGAGCTTTGCTGTGAGCCAAGAACGTGCCACTGCACTCCAGCCTGGGCGACAGAGCAAGACTCTGTCTCAAAAAAAAAAAGAAATGAAATACAAATATGTGCAAATCCTAGGTTGCTACCAAAATTCAGATCTGTATCCTGATTTCTGGAAGAGAAAATAATAGGACCAGCATCAGTTGTTGTGTATCTCAGCTACTTTTAACAATTCTTAAACTGTCCCATCACTTGCATCTTGTTGGATCTGGCAAATAAATACAACTGATCAGGTCACAGTTCACTGGGAAAATGAACAAACATTCCAACCACCAGCTCTATTATTTCATTACCATGCCTTTCCTACTTCTGCTTGTTCTCTGGGTCCAAAGTAAAATTGTGAGCACCCATTGCTTTCAGGAGCAAAAAAGGGATGGACTCTATCACGGAGCAAGGATGGGCTACCATAAGGTAAAGTGTGGAAACCAAGGCCTCTTTGTCTGCTAAGGAAGCAAGGAATAGGCAGGGAATCCAGGGGACCTCTAGTGTCCTCAGAAAGCCTCTAAGTAGATTGGGAGAAAATGTCATTTCCAGATTACTTGCAGCAAGAAATGGTGGTAAGATTAATTTTGTTTGGAGAAAATTGCACAGAATAAGAACTTATTTGTTTACTTTAGAGGTATGTTTCCATTTGATTGTATTTAGTGCAAACATTGACTGTTAGCAAACAATTTATAGATCCGATCTATTACTATAACAGTAGGAGAGCTTTAAATGGGCCTACTGAAAGCCATTACTAAATGAAATACTTTGCATATTAGCAGCAAATCTGCACCCCCTCTATTCCTGAGGAGAGACTCTTACACACAGGGTATGTTAACTCAGGGCCGTGAATTACTGCATGTAAACAGGGAGCATTTATAAGCAAAGAGTTTTCAAATCAATGCTGCATATCCAGCCAGCCTTCCCAAGGAACCTACCTGACCAGCCTCTTGACAATGTGTCTTCTAGAGTCAGGGTGCAGTTCATCCTTTCTCCGTTGGCTCCCTTGAAACAATTGCGCAAAGAGGCTTTGGTCTCTACCCTTTATAGCAACTTGCTCCGTGATTATGGCCTTTACAGCTCTCCAGCCCAAACACACACACACACACACACACACACACACACACACACACACACCTCTTACCTGAATTCAAATAGAGTTCTCCCATTAAAATTCACATACCTTTAAAGCAGGTAGTTCTTTAAGCTATTCTAAGTCATTGATCCTTGGAGAAATAATTCAGGATATAAATCTACTGTTTGGAAATTTTCTTTTCTCTATATTAGTATTGTTTTGCCACTTACTACCTTAGGATATTTCTTTGACAATCTTGGAATTCTATTTTTAATCAGAATTGTTGATGTATGATTTACATATAATAAAATTCACCAAATTTAAAGGGTACAATTCATTCGGGCAAATACACTTAATCAAGTAAACATACCAGAAACATGATGTGGAATATTTCCATCACCCCATAACATTCCCTTTGCCACTTCAGAGTTAATCTCCTACACCCCACATTTAGGTATTTGAAAATATATCTGCTTTCTTTCACTATAGTTTTACTTTCTAGAATGTCTTTTAGTTAGAGTCATTGACTGTGTAATCACTTTTGTCTGGCTTCTTTCTCAGCATAATGCTTTTAAGAGGCATATACTTTGTTGAGTAGCATCAGTAGCTTATTTCTTTTTGTTGCTGAGTAGTATTCCATTATATCAACATATCAGTGTTTACTTATCTATTCACCAGTTGATGGGCTCTCGGGTTATTTCCACTTAGGTTATAAAGCTACTATGAACATTAGAGTACAAGTCTTTGTATAAACATGTTTCATTTTTCTTGAGTAAATATCTAAGAGTGGGATTGCTAGGTTAAGGAAAATGTCTGTATAGCTCTATAAGAAAGTAGCAAAAATGTTTACCAAACTGATAATACATTTTTGCATTCCTACTAGGAACATAAAATGTTTCTAATTGCTCTACAATTCTTAAGGTAGTCAGATTTTTAATTTTAGGCATTCTAATTGGTCTGTGGTGGCTCCTCATTGTAGCTTTAATTTGCATTTTCCTAATGGCTGGTAACAATACAGGAGTTAAGAAATTACTTAGGCAGATACTGAGGGGGGTACGGAAGTCCTCAGTAAGGTTTTCATTTTAATGAAAAGCAGCCCCAAATCATTTTCCTTTCTAACAAAGAGTAGCCTGTAAAATCAAACTGCAGACATAGATGCCAGCAGTTGTGCCAATCATGTTCAAAATGGTGTCCTCATCTCCCCTTTGCTTTATCAGCCATGTGTACAATAAGGTGATGCTGGTCAATGGGAAAATTCATTTGTATAATAAGATTAGGGTGGGGCAGCTAGCCTTCCCCATGCACTATGTAAACGTCATACCTGATAGAACCAATCTGTGAGCCCTATGTAAATCAGACATTGCCTTCTCAAACCTGACTGTAAAATCCAGCGCATCTGCTGCCTGCCAGTCTTTTCCGCTCGGAGACCCGTCTCTCTATAGAGAGAGAGCTGTTTCTCTTTCTCTTTTCTTCTGCCTATTAAACCTCTGCTCCTAAACTCCTCGTGTGTATCTGTGTCCTAAATTTTCCTGGCATGAGATGACGAACCCCAGAGTATATACCCCAGACAACATAGCCACTTCATACTGGGGGCTTGTCAGGGATATGCAGGTACAGCATTCATTGAAAGAATCAGTAGAGAAGTGGACTCCATCTCTGTCTTTTCATTTCAGGGCTCTTGGCCTCCATCTTAGAACCAAATCAAACCAAATACTGGGCCCCCTTCAGCCATTTAATAATGATTAGCATGGATACCAGCCTTACAAGACTTGGGGGACAGGCTTACTCAGGAGAATATGGAGAATCCCCCAGCACCCATGGGTTGCTGGGCATGTTGGCTATGTTTGAACCAGCTTCCTTTTACAGAGGACTTAGCTGTCACATGGGGCTGGAAGACGTTTTGGAGCAACTGAGGATTTCTGGCTGGGCCTATCCCCGGGTGTTACCCAAAGGCTTCTGGACTGACCCAGCCTTTAACCGTCCAGTGGGGTGTTGGCAGCAGGATCTTCAACTTTTCTACCGTAATTTCCTTCTTTCCTGTCCATGACCACCATATCTCATATCCTCTCTGTGTATGCAATGTGTGGAAAGTTTTATAGTTCGGGGAAGTATTCTTGTTTGGCAAGATCAGGGACTGTCATAGTAACTGGGGATATAACTCAAGGGAAAGTGTTTTTATGATTTTCTAGAAACAGAGGGACCCCCCCCCCCAACACACACACACACACACACACACACACATAGTGAGTGTCACCCTCTGCTCTTGGTCTGGAGAGCACATAGCATTTCCAGGTCTCTCACTGCCCTTGGTATGGAGAGTACGTGGCATGTCAAGGTCACTCTGCCCTTAGTCTGGAGAGCACATGGAATTTCAAGGTCGACAATGCCACCTAATGGAATAGGGATCTTCTCAATGAGGCACATTGTCTGTCCTTTACCAAAACACTCAATTCTCCCTTTTTGTGCCCCTCTACTAGAAACCAGGCTTTATACTGCTTCTGTGAACAAGAAAACTCTACCTTCAACAATTGGGAGTAAAATGTCCTCCAGAACCAAATTTTAGTCTCAATACTGTCCCATCAGCAGAAAAACAGTCATTTGGTCCCTATATTTTTAAGGCACCTATTCTGCCTCCAATTTAAATGGCACTTAATTAGTAAACGGATTTTAAGTTTAGAAGTTAACCAGAACCATTCTCAAAGGGTAGACACTTTAGCACAGGCCATAATAGCAGGGTATAGAACTCAAATAAGCACACTTCCTCCATTAAGGAGGGAAATGCAAATGTCACAGTCTCTCCCAAGATACATATTTCGGGGAGCCAGGTAGGTCACACAAGTCTAGGAAGTCAAAAGAAAATCACAGGAAGAGGACTAGAGCTACATGGGTGAGTGTGACTAATCCTAATCACTTAGTTCCTCTGGTTCCATGGCTGGGGGTCATGCCTGCAACCATGGGTGGCACACTCAACAAGGTGCCACGACCCAGGAACCACGGAAGGAAAACAGCAGGGAGGATGGCCCCATTGTCTTCCTCTCCACCCTGGGTCATACCAAAAGGACGGAGACTAAAGGGATGCCGATTTCTCACTTCTCTTTCTAGATGGGTAACAGATCATCTTCAGCCTGCAACCCTCAGGAGTGTATCCTGAAGCACAGGGATTCCTTTGACCCTAAGAATTTAAAGAAAAAGTGGCCCATTTTCTTTTGCACAAGGGCATGGCCTTCTTACTAGACCTTTTGCAGGTGTTACAAAATCAACCTATCTCTTTTAGTAGTCATATCAGGCAGGCCTATGGAGAATGATTCTCCAATGTTAGAGAAGCAACTTCCAGGGGAACAATTGGAAATTCCTCCTTATTTGGGGCTCCCTTAAGTTCCCTTCTCATTACAGGACCTTAGGCAAATAAAGGGAGAGTTAGAACAATTTTCTAATGACCCTGATAGTTACATGATAGGTTTCTAAAATTTAACTCAGGTGTTTGACCTCTCATGAAGGGATGCTAGGCTGCTCCTAAGCCAAACCCTAACTGCGGCTGAAAAGCAGGCAGCTCGGCAGGCAGTAGAGTTTCGGAGTTGAGCAATTTCCTATTTCCCAATGGGAAGAGAGGTAGTACTTCTTGACAACCATAATTGGAACCCCTAGACTTTTCTATGGTATTTTTCCTTCTTTCACAGTTTAAAATGGCTCTTTTATAATGTTCTTCCAATCTGGGAAAAGTTAATTTCCCCAAACCTTAAAATGCTTGGCTTAGAGTTGAGTTAGGGGGAAGGGAACCCAGAAGCCTGACATGCCAGCAAAAGGGTAAAAAAAAAATTTTAACAGTCAAGTTTTTGGCTTCTCTCTCCCTGCACAAACCAGTAAAAGGGATGATAAGGATTATTGTTTATATTCTTAAGTTTTAATTAATGAAAGAGGATTTGTGAGGATGATCTTAAGCTGTAGCCAATTTGGCATACTTGGTGTGTCTTTCTGTATGGTTCTGTCAAAAGAAAGGGTACCTTAGGTTAGGATACAGGTATAGGACCCCATAAGCCCGTTGTTCAAGCCAGCTCAACAAAATGGTCAGTAACAAGGCTGGCTACAGGCCTCCATCTTGATTCATGTCCTTGGGAACATGACCTGTAACCTCATGGTAATACTTTGTTTTAATCTCCACCATTTTACAACGGTGGATGTATTCTTGTGCTAAGTCAGTTCCTGGCTGGAGGCCCTAAAATCAGATCAGCCAGTTTATTGATCTAGGTGGTGCCAGCTGAACCATCAAGGGCAGAGTTTAGAAAATATCTTAAGCCCTGATCTTGAGAGCATTAAAGAAGGGTCAAAATCTTGTAGCATCCAGCTGCATGACTCCTAAGCCACGGTTTCTAATCTTATGGCTAGTTTCTTGGTCTTGTCCCTGGGAAAGAGGGAAGTATATCTTAGGAAGGGACTATGATCATCTTTTTTTTAGACTATAAACTGTAAACCAGGCTCCTCCCAAAGTTGATTTAGCCTATGCCCAGGGATGGACAAGGTCAGCTTTGGGGCTGGAAACAAAATGGAGTTGGGTGGGTCAGATCTCTTTCATTGTCTCAGTCACAATTTTGCAATAACGGTTTCAAAACCTGCTTATCACTCCTTTGAAAATACCTTTTTTAGGGCCTAATAAGCAGGCAGAGCTGAAGGCAAAGACAGATCCCCAAAATTAAGGGTGCCATTTTATACTGGATGTTGGATCCCCAAAAGGAGAGAGATACTGTGGGAGAAGACCTACATTCTCCCATGTACATTCACAGTTAAGTCATAACCTAATTAAGGCTTGTTGGTTTCACCTGTGAGATTACTTGTAAAGTTCAAAAGCTGAAAATCTGAACTGCTTGGCATGGCTAAAGTCAAGTAACAAGGGATTTAAAAGGATTTTCTTAAAGAGTTCTCAGCTTCAGCCAGGCTTAGTGGCTCACGCCTGTAATTCCAGCACTTTGGGAGGCCAAGGCAGGTGGACCACCTGAGGTCAGGAGTTCGAGACCAGCCTGACCAACATGGTGAAACCCTGTCTCTACTAAAAATACAAACATTTGCTGGGTATGGTGGCACATACCTGTAATCCCAGCTACTCAGGAGGGCTGAGGCAGGAGAATCACTTGAATCCGGGAGGCAGAGGTTGCAGTGAGCTGAGATCACGCCACTACACTCCAGTCTGGGCAACAAGAGTGAAATTCCATCTAAAAAAAAAAAAAAAGAAGTTGTCAGCTTAGTTAAAAGTAGATATTCAATTCAAGTTATGGGCATATTTAAATGGCCTTTATGTTTTTCTCTTCTTGGATTTTTTTTTTCTGAAAAAAGTTTTTTTTTTCTGAAAACAATTTTTTTTTCTTTCCAGTTGACTGAATTGTTTTCCTCCATTTTTTTCTGTCTTTCCACTCTTAATGCACACAAGAGAGGCCCTAAGATAACTTCTGGTAGCCTGGGACTCCTTGGGTAAAAAAACCTGTTTTCCTCACGAAACCCCAGGAATTAAAAGCAGATAGTTCCCTCTCAAAATCAAAGGCTCTGTTCTGTTTCGCATTGTGTTATCTGACAGTTTTGAGTTTGGAGGGTATCAAATTACTTCACATTATGAGAGAGTTTTGGAGTGTAATAACTAGGTAGGAAATATATTTTAAGTGATGGTTAATAGTAGTTATGGAGGAATGCTTAACTGCATATTTGACTCAGAGAAGAATGCTCTTGGTCACCTAAAAGATATGGAAACATCTCCACCCCTGACTAAGAGATGAGACTCCCATGGAGAATGGGCTGCATACAAAATAAGCCAATTGGCTTTGGGATGTCTTGCAATGAAATGCATGGTAGAAGCACTGTACTGTCTTCTCCCATAGTATCTCTCTCCTTTGGGGGATCCAAGATCCAGTATAAAGTGACACCCTTAATTCTGGGGATCTGTCTTTGCCTTCAGCTCTGCTTGCTTATTAGGCCCTAGAAATGCATGCTATCCTGGCCCTGTTCCTTCAAGGTCTCCACCCTGAAGCCAGTAACCCAATTAAGAAACTGGCAAGTGAAATATCTTACAAGTGCTGAATCTTCTGTCTGTTTGTGTCACTGTATATGTGTTGTGTGTGATGTCTATAAAGAGATCTAATTGATTGGCTTAAGGAAAAATAAGTGCTAAAGAGTTCTAATTAGTTGACTTAAGGAAAAATAAGTGCTTAAATTAAATATTTTTTAGTTTACATGACTTTAATCTTTAAGAAATAAAAATAGTCAAGGATTATTCATGAAGTGCAAGTGTTGTCAAAATGCAAATAGATTTTCTAAATCATACAACTTAGATACTAGTTTTGTTTGTTCCAAGTTTGTATACTGCTGCTTTACAGATAGGTAAGGCTTGGGATGCTGGAAAGAGACCTTATCTGCACTTCTGTCTGGGTCCTAGGCTAGCTGCTTACTAACCAGATTTTTCACCAAAAGTAAAAGTTGCTAAGAGTTAACATTGCAGCATGTATTTGAGATCACTAAACAGTTGTACATACAAGGTGTGTAAAAACAGTAAAACATGTTTTTAGTAAAAGAAAGCATGGAAATGTAAATTTTGCCAAGGGATGAGGAATTATGTTAAATTTGATAAGATAAAGCTAGAGGTTTAAGAAAGCTATAGTAAGATTGTAAAAAACTAATCTTGCCAAAAAATGTGTAAACATTAAATTCAAAAGGTTATTATATGGTCTTTTCATAAATTGAGCATTGAAATAAAAGCACAGCAAGGTTGTCATAGATGCTAATCTGCCCTTTAGCAAAAGGTGTTATAAAGGATTTGTAAAGATTTCACCTCATGGTTAAATTGGTTAAGATTAGATGGAATTTTCTATGAGGTTTCATCAAAAGGTGGTTTAACATTAATAAACTAATGCAACGGTAAAATTTGGCTTTGAACAAAAATTTCATGTAATAGTAAAGACTAATGAAAGGTTTTTGTGTTTTGAGTCATTTTGGCAAAATAAATAATTTATGGCAATCTGGAATTCTATTTCATAACATCAAGTGTTTTAACCCTCTAACATTTAACAGGCCTCCCAAAATCAAACTTTTAAGTTTCAAAATTGCCTTTCCTGATGTCTGGCTTTCAGGGCCCCTGACACATCCAGAGAAGAGGTAAATAAGATTATTTGACGTGTTTAGTTACATGGTATTGCCAAAATGATGTCCAATCTTCATTAAGTTGTGTTTTGGTGACTAATACTAATATATGTTCCAAAATTGCATGGGACTTCTGAAATTCTAATGTCTAAGTATATGCTGTCAATCATAATTAAGGTTAAATTTATTGTAAACCACAGAGATAACTAAACTTCTTTGTCAGTCATGTTTTTAACTGTAACTACGCTGGAAATTTTGTCATTCGCAGACAACTGTTGTCTTGCTTTGTTCCTTCCCAAAAGATGGATTATAATCAAGTTATAAGACTTTAATAGGTGTTTTCAAGTGTAGGTTTCTAATAGTTTTGAAGATTGTAGCATTGGAATAGATAAAAAATGTACAGGACTCATGAAGAACTGAAATGTTCAAGAATATCAAGCAAAACAAGAGTTAACTAAATGGACTGCACTCAGAAAGCTAAAGCATTTTTTTTGACTTTTGCTTGAAATATTGCTGATCCTTGTTTTGTTTTTCAGAGTCAAGAAAAATTATTTTGAGCTATTTATGGCCTTTAATAATAGAGTAAGGTATACTATTGTGAACAAAATTTGGAGCATGTTTGTTTCTCTCTGCCTGGTTCCTCTAGAATTTGGAAACTATCTGTGAGTACTGTTAATTTATGGCAATATAGTTTTTTGCTAACTTATGGCAATATAGTTGTTTGCATTAGTGCAATAAGAATCCATTTTTCTTTTTCTTTTTCTTTTTCTTCTTTTTTTTTTTTTTTTTTTTGAGATGGAGTTTCACGCTTGTCACCCAGGCTGGAGTGCAATGGCACAATCTTGGCTCAGTGTAACCTCCACCTCCCGGATTCAAGCAATTCTTCTGCCTCAGCCTCCCAAGTAGCTGGGATTACAGGTGCCTGCCACCATGCCTGGCTAATTTTTTTTTTTTTTTTTTGTATTTTTGGTAGAGACAGTTTCACCATGTTGGTCAGGCTGGTCTCAAACTCCTGACCTCAGGTGGTCAGCCCGCCTCCGCCTCCCAAAGTGCTGGGATTACAGGTGTGAGCCACCATGCCCAGCCAAGAATCCATTTGTCTTTTGCAACAGGATGCAATTGGAAAAACTGGTTGTTTTATCAAGACTTTGACTGGAAGGGTATGCTTCCCTTTAAGGAGACAATCTCAAATTGCAGAGCCAGTAAATACTCCATGAGGAGAAATGGCCTGCCTCATACCTTGTCTAAACAGTCCCCATAGAAAGTTCCTAACCTGTGGTCGGTAAAGAATGTCCCTTTCTAACAGGTCTGGTAATTAAAGTGAGTATGGTGCCCATAACCCAGAGGTTTCTTTGTTTGGGAAAATAAAACCAAGGAACTTCGTAGACCCCCCAGACAGAAATTCTACATCTTGGCAAGTAAAATTTTAGATGGAAAGAATCTACTACATCACCCTTTGAGGAACTGCTACTCACTTTACTATTTGCTGGGAGCTATACACAGTAGCACCTTCTAACTGAAATATTGGTTTCCATTGCTCTAGTATTTTGCTTAATTATTATCCTTATAGCAGGGTTAATAGTTACAAATAAAAAGGGAACATGAAAGTTTTACAATCCCTGAGTCTGTTACTATTGGGTTTGGTAATATGTCACACTCTGGCTATGCAAAGAAGGTTATAAAGGAAAGAGATTCTATATAAGAAATGATCTTGTATGGTAAATACTTGTCCTGAAGAGAATTGTTGGTTGTTTAAAAGAAGGATGTTTAGGACAAATCAGAAAGTTTAAGCATGTCTTAGACTGTCTGTGGAAGTCATGAAGGGATTAATAATTGCAGGAAAGATTTAGCCAAGGTTAACACTAAAGTTACTCTAGCCACCCCAATCCAATGCCACTTATCCAAAAATGAATATCACTTTCATATTAACGTTTCAGCAACATCTGGTGGAGGCAAACTAGTGTTACAACCCACTGGAATTGCTGACAGCAATCAAATTCAAAATGATGCTGCAGACAGAACCATGCATGGACATGCCTTTCTTCTGAGGACCCTTAGATTGACCCCAGGGGGAGCCTTAGCTGCTGTTCCCCACACATCACTCTTTTTCAGCAAGAGGTACCAGAAAGAGTTGTTGCCCAACACCCCTTAACAGCAGTTAGTTACCACTCCAGAGCGGGGATTGATACTGGAGTTAAGAAGAAATTACATAGGCATATAGTGAGGTTACGGAAGTCCTTGGTACGGTTTTCCTTTTAATGAAAAGTAGCCCCAAATCATTTTCCTTTCTAACGAAGAGTAGCCTGTAAAATCTAGTTGTAGACATAAATTAGCAGTTGTGCCAATCATGTTCAAAATGGCAGCTCCATCTTCCCTTCTCTTTATCAGCCACATGTACAGTAAGGAGCATACAGGATGGTGCTGGTCAACAGAAGAGTTCATTTGCATAATAAGATTAGGGCGGGGTGGCCAGCCTTCCCTATGTGCTATGTAAATGTCATGCCTGATCGAACCAATCTGTGAGCCCTACGTAAATCAGACATCGCCTTCTAAAACCTGACTATAAAATACAGCGCATTTGCCACCTGCCAGTCTTTTCCACTTGGAGACCCGTCTCTCTCTACAGAGAGAGCTGTTTCTCTTTCTCTTCTTTTCTACCTATTAAACCTCCACTGCTAAACTTCTTGTGCGTGTTCATGTTCTAAATTTTCCTGGCATGAGATGACAAACCCCAGGGTATGTACTCCAGACAATGTAGTTCCTTCAGTAATGCTGAACATCTTTTCATGTACCTATTGGCCATTCCATATCTTCTCTATGGAAATGTCATTTGACTCTTTGGATCTATTTATAAATTGGGCTTTTGTCTTCTTTTATAATTGTAAGAGCTCTTTATATATTCTGGATATGAGTCCTTTATCATATATATGTTTTACCAATATTTTCCCCTTTCTGTTGCTTGTCTTTTTAGTTCCTTAATAGCTTGCATGATGCTGAGGTTTGTGGTACAAATGATCCCATCACCTGGGTAGTGAGCATTGTACCCAATAGGTAATTTTTTAACCCTCGTCTCCCTTCTTCTTTCCTCCCTCAAGTAGTCCCCAATGTCTGTTGTTCCCATCTTTATGTACATGTGTACTCAATGTTTAGCTTCCACTTATGAGAGAACATGTGGTATTTGGTTTTCTGTCCCTGTGGAAATTTGCTTAAAATAATGGTCTCCAGCCACATCCATGTTGCTTCAAATGACATGATTTTGTTCTTTTTATGGCTGTGTATTATTCCATCATGTGTATTTACCACATTTTCTTTATCCATTCCACCATTGATGAGCATCTAGGGTGATTCTATGTCTTTGCTGTTGTGAATAGTGCTGCGATGGACATACATGTGCTTGTGTCTTTTTGGTAGAACCATTTGTTTTCCTTTGAGTATATACCCAGTAATAGGATTGCTGAGTTGAATGGTAGTTCTGTTTTAAGTTCTTTGAGAAATCTCCAAACTGCTTTTCACAGTTGCTGAACTAATTTACATTTTCATCAACAATGTATAAGTGTTCTCTTTCCTCCACAACCCCGTCAGCATCTGTTTTTCGTTTGTTTGTTTTACTTTTTAGTAATAGCCATCCTGACTGGTGTGTGATGGAATCTCATTGTGGTTTTGATTTGCATGTCTCTGATGATTAGTAGTGTGGAGAATTTTTTCATATATTTGTTGGCCACTTGTAGGTTTTCTTTTGAAAACTGTTTGTTTATGTCTTTTGCCTGTCCTTTGTTGTTTTTTGCTTGTTGAATTGTTTAATTTTCTTACAGATTCTGAATATTAGAACTTTGGGTTTTTTTATTATTATTATACTTTACATTCTAGGGTACATGTGCACCATGTGCAGGGTTGTTACATATGTGTACATGTGCCATGTTTGTATGCTGCACCCATCAACTCGTCATTTACATTAAGTATATCTCCCAATGCCATCCCTCCCCCCTCCCCCCACCCCACGACAGGCCCCGTTGTGCGATGCTCCCCACCCAGTGTCCAAGTGTTCTCATTGTTCAATTCCCACCTATGAGTGAGAACATGTGGTGTTTGGTTTTTTTGTCCTTGTGATAGTTTCCTCAGAATGATGGTTTCTAGCTTCATCCATGTTCCTACAAAGAACATGAACTCATCCTTTTTATGGCTGCATAGTATTCCATGGTGTATATGTGCCACATTTTCTTAATCCAGTCTATCATTGATGGACATTTGTGTTGGTTCCAAGTCTTTGCTATTGTGAATAGTACCACAATAAACCTACCTGTGCATGTGTCTTTATAGCAGCATGATTTATAATCCTTTGGGTATATGCCCAGTATAGACCTTTGTTGGATGCATAGTTTGCAAATATCTTCTCTCATTCTGTAGATTGTCTGTTTACTTTGTTGATAGTTTCTTTTGCTGTGCAAAAGCTCTTTGGTTTAATTAGATCTCATTTGTTTATTTTTGTTTTGTTGCAATTACTTTTAAGGACTTAGTCATAAATTATTTGCCAAAGGTTGATGTACAGGTGGTATTTCCTAGGTTTTCTTCTAAGAGTTTTATAATTTGAGGTATTAAATTTAAGTGTTTAATCAGTCTTGGGTTAATTTTTTTTTATGTTGAAATGTAGGGGTCTAGTTTCATTCTCATGCACATGGCTAGCTAGTTATCCCAGCACCATTTATTGAATAGGGAGTCCTTCCCCCATTGCTTGTTTTTATTGACTTTGTGAAAGATCAGATGGTTGTATGTCTGTGTGGCTTTACTTCTGGGTTCTCTGTCCTGTTCCATCGATCTATGTGTCTGTTTTTGTATTATGATGTACCATGCTGTTCTTATTAGATTTATTTGGATTTTTTTTTACATAGACGATCATGTTATTTGTGAATAAAGATGTGTTTCTTCTTCCACTTAACTCTATATAGTTGTTTGTCTTTCCTTATTGTATTGGCCAGGAACTTAAATACAATGTTAAATAGAAATGGTAAGAATATATATCCTTGCCTTGTTTCTGAATAGAAAAAATTCAGTCTCTTTCTATTTAGTATGTTAGCAGTAGGATTTGTATATATGTACACCAGTAGCTAGAAGAGTGCCATTTTATTCCTAGTTTAGTAAGAGTTTTTATCATTAATAGGAGTAAATTTTGTCAAATGTTTTTCTTCATCTTTTTCTTTTTGGGGTTGTTAATATGGTGAGTATTACATTGATTTTTTAAAAATTAAACTAACTCTGCATCTCTGGGAAGAACTGTACTTGATCATGACATATTTCTCTATTTCTACATTGCATAATTCAATTTACTTAATATTTTAATAGATGTTTACATCTATTTTCATTAGTGGTATTGGCCTGTGATTTTTCTTTTCTTGTTACATCTTTCTGGTCTTTGAATCATCAAAATACAGACTTCATAAATTTTAGAAATAGTTTTTTCTCTTTTATAATTTTTATTGAAAGTTTTATGTGAAATTGTTGTCAGTTCTTCTTTAAATTTGCAAGACATAACCACTGAAGTTATTTGACCCTGGAATTTCCTTTGAGGCAATAAATTAAACTACAAATTTAATCTATTAATAGACATATGGCTAGTCAATGTTATCAGTTTCCCCTTGAGTGAGTTTTGGTAGGTTGCGTCTTTCAACAAATATGTCTCTTTCATCTACATTGTAGAATTTGTTGGTATAAAATTGATTATAATATTCTCTTATTAACCTTTAATGGCAGTGGAATCTTTAGTGATTCCCCCTCTTTCATTGCTCCTGTTGGTAATTCGTATACTGTATTTGCTTTCTTTTTCCTGATCAGACTTGTGCTGAAAGTTTATTATTTTTGTTGGCCATTACGTAGAACCAGTTTTTGGGTTAATTTATTTTTCTCTATTGTTTTTCTCTTTTCCATGTAATTAATTTCTTATGTTCACTATTTTTCCTTTTTGCTTTCTTTCTGCTAATGTGCTCTTTTTTTGCCATGTTCTTAAGTAAGAAGCTTACAATATTGATTTAAGACTTTCCCTTTAATTATTGTCTTAGTCTGTTTGACTGCCAGAAAAAATTGCCATAGTTAACTGGGTGGCTTAACAACAAATGTCTCACACTTCTGGAGTCTGGAAGTCAGAGATCAGGCTGCCAGCTAGCACAGTCAGGTTCTACAGATTACCCTCTTGTGAGTTACAGACTAACTTCTTGTTGCATTTTTACATAACAACAACAACAACAAAACAAAAAGGGCAAGAGAGTTCTCTGGGGTCCCTTTTGTAAGGGCACTAATCCCATTCATGAGAATTCCACACATATGACCTAATTACCTCCCAAAGTCTCCACTTTCTTTTTTTTTTTTTTTTTTTGAGACGGAGTCTCGCTCTGTCGCCCAGGCCGGACTGCGGACTGCAGTGGCGCAATCTCGGCTCACTGCAAGCTCCGCCTCCCGGGTTCACGCCATTCTCCTGCCTCAGCCTCCCGAGTAGCTGGGACTACAGGCGCCCGCCACCACGCCTGGCTAATTTTTTGTATTTTTAGTAGAGACGGGGTTTCACCTCGTTAGCCAGGATGGTCTCGATCTCCTGACCTCATGATCCACCCGCCTCGGCCTCCCAAAGTGCTGGGATTACAGGCGTGAGCCACTGCGCCCGGCCCCAAAGTCTCCACTTTCTATAATCATTCTATTAATCATCAATTTTAAATCATAAAACTGAAGAGCAAATTAAATCAAAGTAAGCAGAAGAAAAACATAATAACTATCAAAGCAGAAATAGGTGAAATGGAGAAAAAAAATAGAACAAAAATGACAAAATCAAAAGCTGGTTGTTTGAGATTAATAAAATGGATTAACCTCAAGTCAGCCTGATCAGGAAAAAAGGGTTTGACAAAAATTAATACTGTTTTCTGTAAGAAAAGTGACATCACTACAGATATCACAGATTTAAAAGGATAAGAAAATATTATAAACAATTTTGTGCCAATAAATTAGGTAACTTAGATAAAATGAAAAAAATCCTTGAAATACACAAGGATTTCAACAGAAATTTTTTTTTTGGTGGGAAATGGCAAACATTTAGTTCATTGCAGTTACACATCACAAGTTTTGATATTTTAAAATTCATTAGGTTCAAAATATTTTCTAACTTGCTGTGTAATTTCTTTTTTACTCCTTTTCTTACAAAAATATATCAGTTATTTAATTAGGTTCTTTGTAAGAAATTTAGAAAACCAATTTGTGAGGATAAACGCCATTCATCGGACAAACACAGATCACAGGTAGTCCTGGAGCTGAGGAATAATTTTAATTTTTGGTAACTTTTGCAAGTCCACAGCTTTCTGATCAATCTTGCACTGCTCTGTAATCTCATCTTTCTCTTTTTCTATGTCTAAGATCTCATCTTTCTGGTTTCTGAGCTTCCATGGCTGCTTCTTAAAGTAAACATGAGTGAGATGTTGGGTTATTTTTGCATCATTGATATCAATTTTTGTGGAGGTGGCAATGACAAATTTCTGGTGTGTTCCATGCAGAAGAAACTGATTAAGAACAATAGGTTCAGTCACAAGTAACAAGCCACTGCTCAACTGCTTTAGAGCAACCAGTCTATTGCCCTGTAGTGTCCAGTCAGGATGAGCAGAATGGTCCTAGGAGAGTTGCTAGCTCACATTTTTTTCACATGCTGACTGGAGGAGTTTTTGTTGTGGCTCAACAGCTTTTGAGGCTTATCTTCAGTAGAATAGTATCTAGGCATTTTGTGAAGTTTAACCACTCAGGTACCACATTCGTATGACCACCAACTGGTTCTGGGACAGTGGCAAGAACCTCCATCCATGTTTTTTTTTAAACCCTGGATTCAGCAGCTAAGTACTTCATCTTGAATATGACCCTTCAGAAATACGTAGCAGATTGGGAATGTTTGCTAATTCCTTCAATGATGATGATGACAGGATTTTGTCTGCAGTGAAGCTTCCTCTTCTTGGGCTGTTTAGCCTTCAGGTTAATATTTTTAACCTAACCACTGGCCTTAGCCTTCTTGGCTTCAGGTTTCTTCTTTTTAGTATCGGTCTGCTCAAATTTTTCACTCACCATTTTGCAAGATGGGCAAGAGAGCCGTGTAATTTATCACATGAACTGTGGGTGTGTAGAAATTCATTATTCAATTTTCATATATTTGGGGATTTTCCAATTTTTTATGGTTTTGATTTCTACATTAATTCTGTGTTGGTTAAATAATATATCATTTATGTTTTCAAACCTTTTAAAATTACTGATACTTATCACCCAAAATATGACCTGATTGTGAATATTCTGTGTTCACTTACTAATAACTTATTTTCTGCTATTTATGAGTAAAGTATTTTATAAATACCAATTACGTCAATTTCATTGATAGTATTGTTCAAGTATTCTACATTTTTACTGATTTTCTGTCAACTTTTTCTATCAATTACTGTGACCTGAGTGTTAATAATTATGACAATAAAGATAGCTTATTATTTCTGTTCTATCAGTTTTGGCTTCATGAATTTGAAGTCTGTTATAAGGTACACACCCATTTAGAATTGTTGTGTATTTTTGAGGCATTACTCACTCATAATATTTTTTATGTATTTTGTATATGTAGATATAGCAGATTCGTTCTTCTTAAATATACAGTTTTATTCCTAATTGCCTTGCTTATATAATTTATTCTTAAAGTAATTATTCCTATGTTTGGTTTACATTTTCTTCCTCGTTAATTGTTTACCTCCAGTAATTGCTAGAAGAAACTGAAAGTCATAAAGTTCTGAATACATGGAAAATATAACTTATTCGCCACTTTTATTTAATTGCCAGTTATAGAACAAAGCACACAACAGCAGAATATGCACTTTTTTTCATGTGCACACAAATCGTTTACCAAGATGGACCGTATTCTGTGCTATATGACAAGTCTGAATACATTTCAAAATATTTGAGTTAGTAAAAGTGTCTTCTCTACCCACAACAGAATTAGAAGTCATTTACAAGTATTTGGAAATGAAATAATGCACTTCTTGATAACTCACAGATCAAAGAAGAAATCGAAGGAGAAATTAGATGTTTTTTGTACCAGATGAAAATGAAAGTCATCAAAATTTGTGGAATGAGGGAGGCAATATTTACAGGGAATCTTACAGAACTCAATGTCCATGTAAAAATTGGAAAAAAATTCATATCAATGACCTCAATGTTTAACTTTAAAATCTTTTTTAGAAAAAAGAGCAAATTAAAGTAAGCAGAAGAAAAAATAATAACTATCAAAGCAGAAATAGGTGAAATGGAGAAAAAAAATAGAACAAAAATGACAAAATCAAAAGCTGGTTGTTTGAGATTAATAAAATGGATTAACCTCAAGTCAGCCTGATCAGGAAAAAAGGGTTTGACAAAAATTAATACTGTTTTCTGTAAGAAAAGTGACCACTACAGATATCACAGATTTAAAAGGATAATAAGAAAATATTATAAACAATTTTGTGCCAATAAATTAGGTAACTTAGATAAAATGAAAAAAATCCTTGAAATACACAAACTACCAAAGCCTACATTAGAATAAATAGATAACTTGTATAGCCCCATATCTATAAATAAATTCAAATTTGTAGTTAAAAATCTTCCTACAAGATCTCCAGCCACAAATGGCTTCATGGGTGAAAGCAGAGAATAAATAAGCACATTCAGAAAAAAATAATACTGAGCCTTCACAACTCTTCTAGAATATTGGATAGGAGAGAATTCTTAGTAATTTACTCTATGAAGCCAACATTACTCTGAGAGCAAAACCAGATGAAGACATTACAAGAAAATAAATTTATAGATCAATTTCTTTTATAAACATAGATGTAAACAAGGCAAGGCAAGGACACCACTTCTATTTAACATTGCCATGGAGTCTCTAGCCACTACGATTAAGTCAGCACAAGGAAATAAAAGGCATCTAAATTGAAAATGACAAAGTAAAACACTTATTATTCACAGGTGACATAATAATCTGTATTAAAACTTAGAGAATCTACAAAAATCCAACTGGAACTAATATGTGAATTTAGCAAGTTTACAGAATACAAGGTGAATATAAAAATATAAAATACATTTCCATATACTAGGTATGATTGGTAATTGAAATTAACATTCACTTACAGAAGCAACAAAAGTATGAGCCACTTAGCAACAAATCTAACATAAGGCATTTACAACCTGAAGCACTGGAAACTACAAAGCGGCGCTAAGAAAGAAAACCTAAATAAATGGAGATGTTTGAAATGTTCATTATTTTGAGTGTGGTGATGTCGTTTCACAGGTGTATTCTTATATCAAGGCTTACAGCTGGGCACAGTGGCTTATGCCTGTAATCCTAACACTTTGGGAAGCAGAGGCAGGAAAATCACTTGAGCTCAGGAGTTCAAGACTAGATGGGCAACATGGTGAAACTCTGTCTCTACAAAAAATACAAAAATTAGCCAGACGTGGTGGTGCACACCTGTAGTCCCAGGTACTTGGGGGGCTGAGGCAGCAGGATCACTTGAATCTCAGAGGCCCAGATCATGCCACTGCACTCCAGCCTGGGTGACAAAGTGAGACCTTGTCTCCAACTCCAAAAAAAAAAGTCTTATCAAATTGTATGTCAATTTTAGCTCAATAAACTACTAAAATTTAGAAATAAACATTTGATATTATTCAACATCCATTGATGATAAAGTTTCTCAGCAAACTAAGAATAGAATAAAATTTTCTCAATCTGATAAACAGCATCTGCACAAACGTATAGCGAAAATTAAAAGCAATGATATAATACTGGATGTTTTCCTTTTAATATTCAGAACGATACTAGTTGTACTTACTCATCAGTTTTACTTAACATTATACTGAAAGTATAGCCAATGAAATAGGGGGATGAGATGCAATAATGATTGGGAAAAAAAAACACACAAAATCGTCTTTATTTACATACAATATGGCTGTTTATGTAGAGTATCATAGGGAGTCTTCAAAACAATTGCCAAACTTATAAATGTATTTAGCAAGTTCTTAAGACACAGCATCAATATCCTTAAATCAATTGTGTTTCTATAGAACAACAGCCAGTAATTGAAAATAAAAATTTAATATCCCATTTACAATAACATCACAGGCAAAAGGCTAAGGAATAGATAAAAGAATGTGCACCCTGGCTCAGTTGCTCATGCCTGTAATCCCAGAACTTTGTGAGGCTGAGGTGAGAGGATTGCTTGAGCTCAGGAGTTTGAGACCAGCCTGGAAAACATAGTGAAACTCAGTCTCTAAAAACAAAATAATAAAATTAAAAAAAATTTTTTTAAAGACTCCACAAAAAAATGAAGAGGCTGGCCACAAAATGAGACAACATAGTTGAAATGCGTGTATTTTAAACAAAAAAACTTGTACCTTAAATATATAATAACAAAACAATTAAAAAGACAACTCTCCTTTCATCAAATATAGACAAAAGACAATTATTTCACAAAAGAATGTCTAGGAGTGGTTAATAAGCATATGAAAAAGTGCTTAATATTATTATTTATCAGGGTAATTAAAACCAGTATATGACAGCATTTTATACTCACTAGAATAGCTGGATTAAAAAAGAACAAATATTGGGCACAGTCTGGCAATGGAACACTCATACATTTCTAGTGGATGTGTGAAATGGTACAACCATTTTGAAAACTATTTGACTTTTTCTTATAAAGTTAAATGTACTCAACTATTCATTCCTAATTATTTTTCCAAGAGAAATATCCTAAAAGACTTGTATAAGACTTTGTTTGTAGCAGCTTCATTCAAAATATCAAAACCTAGAAAAAACCAAACTGTTCATCAGGCAAGCCTATTAAATAAATCATGGAATATTCATATCATGGAGTACTACACAGTAGTAATAAAGTAACTACTGTTGATGCATATGACAACATGGATGAATCTCAAAATCATTATGTTAATTGAAAGAAGCCAGAAAGAAATAAGGATATGTTATATGTTATTCTGTAAAAAGTTCAAAACCAAAGCAAAACTAATCCATGACAATAGAAATCAAAGCAATGGTTGCCTTTGGGGTAGGTGGGCTACAAGGTGATACAGGACAACTTTCTCAGGCGTTTGGAAGTATTCTATGCCTTGATTAAGCAGTTAACAAGGGTATGTTGATATATTAAGATGTATCAAATTGTTATCTTAAGACTGATGCATTTCAACTTTATGTAAATTTTACCTCAATACAAAAAAATCTGGTTTGTAGGCAAAATGAAGTGCGTTTTTGAGGGAGAAGAAGGATTTGAGGGAGCAAGTTGCAGAGAATGGGAAGTAATGGGGAGGAAAGTTAGAGTGAAAAGAAAAAGACTCTGACAAGGAAGGAAAAAGGGAAGAACTATGAGAGAGAGCTCAGTGAAGTGGTGGGTACTACTTTGCAGTGTTTTCTAGATTAACCCTGCAGGAAAGCCAAAAATTATTACTTAACTCACATTTTCATGATCATTTTGGAACTACTTACTTGACTGTAAGACATGTTCGTTGACCACTATCCCTACTTGTGAGTATTTAATGACTGGAAAATTAGAAAATGTATGTGTCAGAGGAACAGTAATCAGAAATCTCTGAAGTCAAGTGAAGCTGCGAGGAAGCCTAGGCATCCCCAGATGCCCCATTGATTGTAGGCACAGAGCCATGTACAGAGCTCAGCACCTTAGGTTTCTTGCTAGGCAGAGAGTGATGATTACATAGGTCTTCAGGTGTTTCATGCAACACCTTCAGGTTTTACATGTGCAATAGAGGAAGATTATTTTTGCAAGATAGCAGCCTATATTAAGGCACACATGAATTTATATTGTTTTTGGCATCCAGGGGCCCTTTTTACAAAATTTTGTCAAGCACGTTTCCTTTCTGAATAGAGGCTGCATACAACAATTGGATGAACAATTTTTGCAAAATCTCTCAGGGGGCCTCTCTTGAGACTGAGCCTGTATGAGATCATGATATGAGACTATGGCTTGGCTGGATTTTTATTTCAGTAAGTGATCTCATTCACTTAAAGCACTAATCATTTTAACAGGAGAAAAAAAATACAGCCTTCCAAAATCACAGCAGGAAAAAAATAAGGGGAAAAGCATGTCAAAGTGATCTTGTGAAAGTTCCCATATGATTTTACACGGAAAATTTTCCATTTATACATCATCAGAATGGATATACAGTCTGATATTACTGGTGGAAGATATATGAGAAAGTCAACCTAATGCAAACAAATAGGATTCCAGGCTACAAAACTGACTTACCTGGTTTGGGTTTATTATATTTGACATGAAGAAAACTGCTTTCCCCCTTTGGAAGTCTTTCCATCATAAGACACATAACAACAGCATGAGCAAAATTTGCAGAAGAGAAAGACTATAATATGCTTTATAGCAAGTGTGATACTAGTGACAGGATCTACCTGATATGAAATATCTGGATGAAAACTGGAAATTGCAACATGGCTACCCTTACCAGGCCTCTTGGTTTTACTTTATTTCCATATTTAGGTTAACTAAGTAGAACTCTTTTGTTTATATTCCTCATCTTCTCAACTTTAAATCTGTCCCTTTGCTTATTTCTGACTAGCCACTGTGAAAGCTTTGCTCTGTGTATGCAGCAAAACACTTTTAAACATCCCACACTATAGGGAGTAAGATTATTTACGGCTAAACCTAACAAGTCTGCAAAGCACATTAAATCCAGAGACCAAGTTGGTCTAATTCTGTTTTCTGTTAGTAAATGCATTGGGAACAGAGTCAAGTACTTTTGGGGAATGGTTATATTTTAAACAAAAATATGTATCTACTAGGGAAAAAAAAGACAGTGAGAGGATGATTAGCATTTCTATAATTGCATGTGTGGCAGTCGTAATTCTTGGGTTTTCTAGATAGAATACAGAGTAATTGTATTAGCCCATTCTCAAGCTGCTATAAGGACATATATGAGACTGGGGAATCTATAAAGAAAAAGCGGTTTAATGGACTCATAGTATCACATGCCTAGGGAGGCCTCAAAATCATGATAGAAGGCAAAAGCACATCTTACATGATGGCAGGCAAGAGGTCCTGTACTGGGGAACTTCACTTTATAAAACCATTAGATCTTGTGAGACTTATTCACTATCATAAGAACACCAGGGAAAAACCCATACCCATGATTCAATTACCTCCAACCAGATCGCTCCCATGACACATGGAGATTACAGGAGCTATAATTCAAGATGAGATTTGGGTGGTGACACAGCCAAACCATGTAATTCCACCCCTGACTCCTTTCAAATCTTATGTCCTCTCATTTCAAAACCAATCATGCCTTCCCAGCAGTCCCCCAAGTCTTAGCTCATTCCAGTATTAATTCAAAAGTCCACAGTCCAAAGTCTCATCTGAGACAAGGCAAGTCCCTTCCACCTATGAGCCTGTAAAATCAAAAGCAAGTTAGTTACTTCCTAGATACAATTGGGGTACAGGCATTGGGTAAATACATGTGCTCTAAATGGGAGAAATTGGCCAAAACGAAGGGGTTACAGACTCCATGCAAGTCCAAGATCCAGCATGGCAGTCAAATCTTAAAGCTACAAAATGATCTCCTTTGACTCCATGTCTCACATCCAGATCACATCGATGCAAGAGGTGTGTTCCCATGGACTTGGGCATCTCTGTCCCTGTGGTTTTGCAGGGTACAGCCCTTCTCCTGGCTTCTTTCATGGGCTGGCATTGAGTGTCTGTGGCTTTTCCTGGTGTACAATGCAAGTTCTCAGTGGATCTATCATTCTGGGGTCTGGAGAACAGTGGTCCTCTTCTCACAGCTCCACTAGGCAGTGCCCCAGTGGGGACTCTGTGTGGGGGCTCCAGCCCCACATTTCCCTTCTGCACTGCCCTAGCAAAGGTTCTCCATGAGGGTTCTGACCCTGCAGCACACTTTGGCCTAGACATCCAGACGTTTCTATACATCATCTGAAATCTAGGCTGAAGTTTCCAAATCTCAATTCATGACTTCTGTGTACCTGCAGGCCCAACATCTCATGTAAGCTGCCAAAGCTTGAGGCTTGCATCCTCTGAAACAATGGCCTGAGCGGTACATTGGCCCCTTTTAGCAATGGCTTGGAGGCAGAGCACCAAGTCTGGAGACTGCACAAAACCTCAAGGCCCTGGGCCCAGCCCATGAAACCATTTTTTCCTCCTAGGCTTCCAGGCTTGTGATGGATAGGGCAACTGTGAAGACCTCTGACATGCCGTGGAGACATTTTCCCCATTGTCTTGGTGATTAACATTTGGCTCCTTGTTACTTATGCAAATTTCTGCAGCTGGCTTGAATTTCTTCTCAGAAAATGGGTTTTTCTTTTCTATCACATCATCAGGCTGCAAATTTTCTCAGCTCTTATGCTCTACTTCCTCTTTAAATATAAGTTCCAATTCCAAACCGTATCTTCATGAATGAATAAAACTGGATGATTTTAAGAGCACTCAAGTCACCTCTTCAATGCTTTGCTACCTAGAAATTTCTTCTACCAGATACCCTACATCATCTCTCTCAAATTCAAAGTTACACAGATCTCTAGGCAGGGGCAAAATGCTGCCAGTCTCTTTGCAAAAGCATAGCAAGAATCACCTTTGCTCCAGTTTCCAATGAGTTCTCCATCTCCATCTGAGGCCACCTCAACCTGGACTTCATTGTCCATATCTCTGTCAGTATTTTGGTCAAAGCCATTCAACAAGTCCCTAGGAATTTTCAAACTTTCTCACATCTTCCTGTCTTCTGAGCTCTCCAAGTTTCTAGGAAGTTCCAAACTTTCCCAAATTTTCCTCTCTTCTTCTGAGCCCTCCAAACTGTTTTAATCTCTGCCTGTTACCCAGTTCCAAAGTTGGTTCCACATTTTTGGGTATCCTTATAGCAGCACCCCACTCTACCAGTACCAATTTACTGTATTAGTCTGTTCTCAAGCTGCTGTAAGGACATACCTGAGACTGCGTAATTTACAAAGAAAAAGAGGTTTAATGGACTCACAGTTCCACCGGACTGGAGAGGCCTCATAATCATGGCATAAGGTGAAGAAGGAACAAAGGCCCATCTTACATGGCAGCAGGCAAGAGAACATGTGCAGGGGAACTCCCCTTTATAAAACCATCAGATCTCGTGAGACTTATTCACCATCATGAGAACAGCATAGGAAAAACCTGCCCCCATGATTCAATTGCCTCCTACTGGGTCCCTCCCACAACATGTGTGGATCATGGGAGCTACAATTCAACATGAGATTTGGGTGAGAACACAGCCAAAACATATCAGTAATGCAAACCCATTGCATCTCAAGTCAATTAGTACAAGACTGGAGACTGTCACTGAAGGTGCTGGTGGTCAGTGACTCCCATAGATTTATAAAGCTTGAATTAGTGATGAGCTTCTCTCAGCTTCTATGATCAGACCTCCAACCATTACATCTCTACCCTCACTCTTCAGCTTATATAGTACAGTGGAGGGAGCCTGTGTTTAGAAAACTTACACCCAGAGCCCATCATCAGAGCCAATGCAATCAACCCAAGTCAGAATTTTCTCGTTAAATACCTTCAGAATTATTGTTACCCAAGCCATGGCCAGTCGTTCCCAAATGAATAATATACTGCTATGGCCAATTTTGAAAGTTAGTGGACAGTTTTCTCTGACATTACTCAAATCTGTTATCTTTGCTCAATGCCGAAGTCTGAGCCTTTCTGCTCATCTGTAATCTGTGTTCTCTTACACGTACTGCTCCAGGATCCAGGATCCTTCTTTCTTGGCCTAACTTCATTGCTCAGTACTCCCCTCCATGTGCCTTTGGTACACTCTGATCTATAGTTACCAACTTATTCATTTTTCTTAATTAATTAATTTATTTATTTTGAGATGGAGTCTCGCTCTGTCGCCAGGCTGGAGTGCAATGGTACGATCTTGGCTCACTGCAACCTCCACCTCCCTGGTTCAAGTGATTCTCCTGCCTCAGCCTTCCAAGTAGCTGGCACTGCAGGTGCATGCCACCACGCCCAGCTGATTTTTGTATTTTTGTCGAGACGGGGTTTCACCATGTTGGCCAGGATGGTCTTGATCTCTTGACCTCGTGATCCCCCTGCCTTGGCCTCCCAAAGTGCTAGGATTACAGGCATGAGCCACTGTACCCGACCTATTTTGAATTTTTATGGTTACATAGTAGGTGTATATATTTATGGTGTACATGAGATATTTTGATACTGGCATACGATGTGTAATAATCACATCAGGGTAAATGGGATATCCATTGCCTCAAGCATTTATCATTTCTTTGTGTTACAAACATTCCAATTATGCTTTTAAAGTTATTTTTAAATGTGCAAGGTACAATACCTGACATCAAATTATACTGTAGATCTATATAGTAACTAAAACAGCATGATACTAGCATAAAAACAAACACATAGATCAATGGAACAGAATGGAGAGCTCAGAAAGAAATCCACACATCTATAGTAAACTCATTTTTGACAAAGGTGCCAAGAACACATATTGGGGAAAGGACAGTCTCTAAATGGTGCTGGGAAAACTGGATCCCCGTATGCAGAAAAATTAAACCAGACCCTTATCTCGCAACACATACAAAAACCAAATCAAAATGGATTCGATACTTAAATCTGAGACCTCAAACTATGAAACTACTAAAAGAAAACATTAAGGAAACTCTTCTTCCTCATTTATGAGCTCTTCATTTAACATCCTTTCCTCTTCTGTACATTAACTGAAAGTTGATTCTTCCATGAAAATCCATTTTTCTCCTGAAGCTCTTTCATTTGAAGTCTGCAAGTTCACCAGTATCCCATGGACTTTGAATCTGGCAATCAGAGTTGACTTTCTTCTGATCTCCATTCTGAATTATACACTATTTTTTGTCTCCTATGAGTAAAAATTATGCTCCTTGGCAGTTTATGCCAAGCCCTTTGCAGCCCCTTCATAGTCATCCATGGATTTTCTGATTACTCTTGCTCATTTACTAATATTTTAGTGCCTGGTCATAGTCTTTTCCATCTGGTTAAATTGGACTTTTATTTTAGGTGACTTTAAACTTTGCTTTGACAGTCAATCTTGCATGATAGTCCCTCAATTCATTTCTCTCTTGTCCTGTTCCGTCTGCCTTCAGTTCACTGCACACGGGTCACATTGTTCAGTCTTCGTGGTCACATCCTGGACCTTGACTTCTGGAGCTCTTCCATCACTGGACCAATCTTTTAGAGGCCTGGCTGAGATGTAAAAATGGGAAAGGAGAGAAAAAGCTGAGAAATTCTTTTATTTGTTTAAAAATCAACATGAGAAAATGTTTCAAATACATATTGTTAAATTATGCTGCCATAAACTGCCAAGGAGCGTACTTTCAAATACATATTTTAAAAGGGCCAATGGAGAATAAGTGGATGAAACCTATGAGAAAGGATTAGTGTTGAAGAAAGGTGTTTAGGAAGGGTGAAGGAAAAATACAAAGACTAGATGGGAGGATTAAACTCAGTTCAAGAAAAAACAACTTTTCCTCTGAAAGAGGTATAAATAAGGTAAGGTAAGGACGAATGTTTACATACATGGCAAATTTAGGGAATGTAGGACAGTTGTTTCTAATTTTTCTGTAAGGAAAAAGTAAAAATTTCCTTCTGAGAGTGAAAGAATGGGAGTGAGAATGAGTCAGAAGAACTAAAGAAAATTGTGAAAGGTTGAAAGAGGATTACCAAAGACTGTTGCCTATTCAAGTGAAGACCCAGATCATAAATACGCCAGAGCAGAGGATGCAGAAATGATGACTTCATAGATGTTTGTAGCAGAAAGTAAAAAGCTGATATTGTGATGAGTGTGGAGTTGATGGAAAAATGGTTTGATATTTGGTAAGGAAGGAGGCGAAGCCATGCAAGAGAGCTAAGAGATTAAGAGTAATTGGAGGCTGGGCACAGTGGCTAAAGCCTGTAATCCCAGCACTTTGGGAGGCCGGGGTGGGCAGATCACCCGAGGTCAGGAGTTCAAGACCAGCCTGGACAACATGGTGAAACTCCAGCTCTACTAAAAATACAAAAATAAGCTGGGTTGGTGGCTCATGCCTGTAATCCCCATCTACTTGAGAGGCTGAGGCACGAGAATCACTTGCTACTATAGCTACCCAGGAGGCAGAGGTTGCAGTGAGCTGAGATCATGCTACCGTACACCAGCCTGGTCAATAGAGTGAGTCTGCCTCAAAAAAAAAAAAAAAAGGAAAGAAAAGAAATTTAAAAAAAGAAGTAATTGGAGAAATCAAAGGACAGAAAGCCTCAGAAATGTCAAAGAGAAAGTGTAATAAAAATAGAAGAGAAAATCTGAAAAAAATAAGAAATACGAAAGAGCAAAAAGCCTGAAATATCCCCCACAATTCATTCCTCACATGAAAAATTTGGGGTTTATATTAACTTGTATAGAATATCATTGCCAAGTAAAACTTATTGGGGATTCACAAAACCAAAAGCAGATAAAAAATGCATTTTAGTGATACAATCCATTTGTAATTTGGAGACTGACAGCTTGTTCATCCTTGTCAGAACCTGAGTGAAGTGGGATCTCTAATCCAATAGTTTATTTAAAGAGTGAAAAAAGGGAGCTCCTTTGGCAGGAACAATAGAGAAAGCAATTCCACACCTAATTTATTTAATCATAAATTGTCTCAATCCCCACCTCATAGCAAACAAACAGATGACAGTTATTCCATTCAAACAATGTATAAAGGTTGCAGAAATTGAATTATCACTCTTAAAAAATTAGAGTAGTATCATAAAAGCACAATCAAGTTTCTATTTCATGCAATATTTTACTTAAACATCAAAAAGGTGTTTTGACATAGACAAAATGAAGCCAACCCCAGGTACAAATAAAAATCAAGCTATGAATGAAAGATAACCACAAGAGTAAATTAAACAAAACTATCGTAATTGATATTTGATAAGGAAGGAGGTGAAGCCATTCAAGAGAGCTAAGAAATTAAGAGTAATTGGAGGCTGGGCACAGTGGCTAATGCCTGTAATCCCAGCGCTTTGAGAGGCCCGGGTAGGCAGATCATCTGAGGTCAAGAGTTTGATACCACTCTGGCCAATATGGTGAAACTCCGGCTGTACTAAAAAAACAAAAGTAAGCCAGGTGTGGTGGCTCACGCCTGTAATTCCACCTACTTGGGAGGCTGAGTCATGAGAATCACTTGCTACTATAGCTAAAAGGAACTGCTATTCTGCATCAAGAGTACATTGGGAAGAATGTCAGTAATAGTATTTTTAAACATTAAGAGAATATGTATTTGTTCTGTGGGACATAGGCACTGAGAGTAAATGCAATGAATCTTCTAAGAAGGGTTTCTTGATAAACCTTGGAAATCCAGCATTTAGAAATATAATCTATTAGACAAAGAATTTCTTGCAGTTG